>NC_000024.10:1726351-1949345 GCF_000001405.40 Homo sapiens
GAGAGCTGAGGGTGTCAGCTCCAGTCTGAGTCTGAAGGTGTGAATTCTAGTGTGAGTCAGAAGGCCTGAGACCCAGGAGAGCCAATGGTGTGAGTTCCAGTCTGAGTCTGAAGTCCTGAGACCCAGGAGAGCTGAGGGTGTGAGTTTATGTTTATAAACATACGTATGCATGTGTCTTTATAGGAGCATGATTTATAATCCTTTGGGTATATAACCAGTAATGGGATGGCTGGGTCAAATGGTATTTCTAGTTCTAGATCCCTGAGGAATCACCACACTGACTTCCACAATGGTTGAACTAGTTTACAGTCCCACCAACAGTGTAAAAGTGTTCCTATTTCTCCACATCCTCTCCAGCACCTGTTGTTTCCTGACTTTTTAATGATTGCCATTCTAACTGGTGTGAGATGGTATCTCATTGTGGTTTTGGTTTGCATTTCTCTGATGGCCAGCAATGATGAGCATTTTTTCATGTGTCTTTTGGCTGCATAGATGTCTTCTTTTGAGAAGTGTCTGTTCATGTCCTTTGTATGTTTATTGTGGCACTATTCACAATAGCAAAGACTTGGAACCAACCCAAATGTCCAACAATGATAGACTGGATTAAGAAAATGTGGCACATATACACCATGGAATACTATACAGCCATAAAAAATGATGAGTTCATGTCCTTTGTAGGGACATGGATGAAGCTGGAAACCATCTTTGTCAGCAAACTATCGCAAGGACAAAAAACCAAACACCACATGTTCTCACTCATAGATGGGAATTGAACAATGAGAACACTTGGACACAGGAAGGGGAACATCACACACCGGGGCCTGTTGTGGGGTGGGAGGAGGGGGGAGGGATAGCATTAGGAGATAAACCTAATGCTAAATGACCACTTAATGGGTGCAGCACACCAACATGGCACATGTATACAATATGTAACTAACCTGCACGTTGTACACATGTACCCTAAAACTTAAAGTATAAAAAAAAATATGGCAGAGAAATGTGTTTTGGGGGTAAAATATTTTGATTTTCTTCCTTGCCATGCCAGAGTCAGATGGGAAAGTAAGTCACGATCTACGGGGTTAAATAAAACCCATCTGATGAGAATGTATTATGGTTTGTATGACATGACTCCCCCCCAGACCCCTTAGATAGGAATTTAGGCAAGATTAAAAAAAAAAAAAATCAGAGCTTCGTCCTCACACATGAGGCTTCAGTAGGATGTTGTGTTGGTGCCCCAGCCATGTGATGGACTCATAGCAAGTCCCAGCTGCTGTGAGTCCTGGCTGCTAATGGCTCCCGGCTATCCCCTCCTCGTCGGAATTTCCCTGGGCTGGTGGATGCCGCTTCAGCAGAGAAGCCTGGATGGTGAACTGATTTCTCATTAGAGCAGACAGCCCATGACTAATAGGACAGAGCCATGACTCAACCTTCTTCCCCAAACTGGGGCAGCCTGGGGAGGAGGGGCCGTGCTTTCTCCAGGTTTCCCCGGGGATCTGGCAGGTGCACGTCGGATATCACTTCTAGGGAAGTTGAGCTCAGACAGGTCACTTAGGGATCCTGGAGGCTCCGAAAGAGAGGGTGTCTTCCTTCCAGGCAGCTCAGTCTGAGGGATGAGACACTTCCATTGTCTTCCAAGTATGTGAATATCCCAGGTATGTGGGAAATGCACGCATAACTTTTTTTTTTTTTTTTTTTTTTTTTTTTTTGAGACAAAGTTTCGTTCAGTCGCCCAGGCTGGAGTGCAGTGGCAGGACCTCAGCTCACACAACCTCTGCCTCCCAGGTTCAAATGATTCTCCTGCCTCAGCCTCCCAAGTAGCTGGGACTACAGGCGCCTGTAATCCCAGCACTTTGGGAGGCCGAGGTGGGTGGATCACCTGAGGTCTGGAGTTCGAGACCAGCCTGGCCAATATGGTGAAACCCTGTCTCTCCTAAAAATACAAAAATTAGCCAGGCATGGTGGTGACACATATAGTCCCAGCTACTCGAGAGGCTGAGGTGGGGAATTGCTTGAACCTGGTAGGCAGAGGTTGCAGTCAGCCGAGATTGCATCATTGCACTCCAGCCTGGGCAACAGAGTGAGGCTCTGTCTCAAAAAACAAACAAACAAACAAACAAAAAATACAAATGCCAACAGTCTTCTTGTTTAGAAGTCATGCAAACCAGAATTCAGAGAGTGATCTGTTTTAAGTGCTGAAAGGTAAACCAACAATCAACAAACAAAATCTGTCTGCCTGGAATAACATACCAGTGAAAATGCCTTTTAAAGTAAAGCAGAAACAAAGGCTGACATCATCAGAAATGGAGAGAATTCAGACAGCCAAATGTGAACCCAGAAAATCTGAGACAGGGCTCAGTTAATTTTTATTTTATTTTAAAGACTGAGTCTTGCTCTGTTGCCCAGGCTGGAGTGCAGTGGTGTGATCTCAGCTCACTGCAACCTCCGCCTACCGGTTTCAAGTGATTCTCCTGCCTCAGCCTCCCAAGTAGATGGGACTACAGGCACCTGCCACCACGCCCAGCTAATTTTTTTTGTATTTTTAGAAGAGACGGGGTTTCACCGTGTTAGGCAGGATGGTCTCGATCTCCTGACCTCGTGATCCACCCGCCTTGGCCTCCCAAAGTGCTGGGATTACAGGCGTGAGCCACCATGCCTGGCCAAGCAACTCCTAATCTTAATAACAGAGAAAGAGGGAGACTTAGGGCTCTGTGCAATTCCCAAAAAAAGTATGGAAGCATCAGTTCCTCAAGTGACAGAAACAAAAGAATGACATCCGGCCGGGCGCAGTGGCTCACGACTGTATTCTCAGCACTTGAGGAGGCTGAGGCAGATGGATCATGAGGTCAAGAGATCGAGACCAGCCTGGTCAACATGGTGAAACCCCATCTCTACTAAAAATACAAAAATTTAGCTGGGCATGGCTGGGCGTGGTGGCTCATGCCTGTAATCCCAGTACTTTGGGAGGCTGAAGCAGACGTATCACGAGGTCAAGAATCGAGACCAGCCTGGCCAACATGGTGAAACCGTCTCTACTAAAAATATAAAAATTAGCTGGGCGTGGTGGCGTGGGCCTATAGTCCCAGCAACTTGGGAGGCTGAGGCAGGAGAATCGCTTCAACCCGGGAGGCGGAGGTTGCGCTGAGCCGACATTGCGCCACTGTACTCCAGCCTGGGTGACAGAGTGAGACTCCATCTGAAAAAAAAAAAAAAAAGAAGGATATCTTCATAGACCCTATTCCAAAAGCTGTCTCATTCCTATTTTGCAGGGGTAAAGAACACAGACATTGCTTGTAACACACTATCCTTCCCTAAACTAATTTCTGCAGACAATCACATTTCCACGCGTGTTTTAGTCTGATGTGCTTTCACGTTTTGGGGCTGTTGAAGGCACCCAGGTCTGGGTGAACACCCCCAAAATTCAGCACTTTGCCAGCGTGGGGAAGAAGAGGGCTGGGAGAGTAAAATCTTGCTTCAGTGTTTGCATGGGGAGATCTTGCACATCCAAGAGAGGAGCAGGTACACTGGCTGTGCACCTGCAGCCCCACGCTGTCTTCTCTCTCTGTCTCCAGGGTAGGCACTTTGGGGCAGAAGTGGTCAACAGCGCCGGAATCTACCGGTCAGCATCAGGCTTTAAAAGACGCCCTCGTGGCACTGTTGACAACAGCAAAGACTTGGAACCAACCCAAATGCCCATCAATGATAGACTGGATTAAGAAAATGTGGCACATACACACCATGGAATACTATGCAGCCATAAAAAAGGACGAGTTCATGTCCTTTGCAGGGACATGGATGAAGCTGGAAACCATCATTCTCAGCAAACTCACACAAGAACAGAAACCCAAACACCACATGTTCTCACTCATAGGTGGGAGTTGAACAATGAGAACACATGGACACAGGGAGGGGAACAGCACACACCGGGGCCTGTCAGGGGGTGAGGGGCTAGGGGAGGTATAGCATTAGGAGAAATACCTAATGTAGATGATGGGTTGATGGGTGCAGCAAACCACTGTGGCACGTGCATACCTATGTAACAAACCTGCACGTTCTGCACATGTACCCCAGAACTTAAAGTATAATAGTAATAATAAAAATAAACAACCCCCTGGAGGCCAGGCGCAGTGGCTCACACCTGTCATCCCAGCACTTTGGGAGGCCTAGGTGGGTGGATCACTTGAGGTCAGGAGTTCGAGACCAGCCTGGACAACATAGTGGAACCCTGTCTCTACTGAAATAAGAAAAAATTAGCCTGGTGCGGTGACGCATGCCTGTAGTCCCATCTACTTGGGAAGCTGAGGCAGGAGAAATCGTTTGAACCTGGAAGCCGGAGGTTGCAGTGAGCTGAGATCACGCCATTGCACTCCAGCCTGGGCGACAAAGCAAGGCTCTGTCTTGCAAACAAAACGGTCTGAAAGCATGTAGCCTGGTTTTTTAGCGCAGTCTTAGGGGCTGGCTGGGGTAGATATGTCTGTGCTTCCTTTCTGCTGGAGCCTGCTAACTTTCTGTTACTCTTTTGATATCAGGCCCCTAGCTCCTCTGAGGCACGGGAATATCCAGTTTCTTCTCCCCTCTGAAGAACCTGCCTGATAACAACCATAGTGCTTTAAATGGCATCTCCCAAAAGATAAGTCCGTGCCCTTCTCCCTAAAACCTGGGAAGGTGACTTTATTTAAAAAAAAAAAAAAGGGTCGGCCGGGTGCGGTGGCTCACGCTTGTAATCCCAGCACTTTGGGAGGCCGAGGTGGGTGGATCACGAGGTCAGGAGTTTGAGACCAGCCTGGCCCACATGGTGAAACCCTGTCTCTACTAAAAATACAAAAATTAGCCGGGCACGGTGGTGCATGCCTGTTATCCCAGCAACTTGGGAGGCTGAGGCAAGAGAATTGCTTGAACCCAGGAGGCGGAAGTTGCAGTGAGCCGAGATCAGGCCACTGCACTCCAGCCTGGTGACAGAGCAAGACTCCATTTCAAAAAAAAAAAAAAAAAAAAAAAAAAAAAAAAAAAAGGGTCTTTGCTGTCACAATTAAGCCTCTCAACATGAGATCATCCTGGATTGTTTAGATGGGCCCTAAATATCACAACTAGAGTTTTGTTGTTGTTGTTGTTGGTTTGTTTCTTTGTTTTTGTGACGGAGTCTCACTCTATCACCCGGCTGGAGTGCAGTGGTGTGATCTTGGCTCACTGCAACCTCCACCTCCCGGGTCCAAGCGACTTTCCTGCCTCACCGTCCTGAGTAGCTGGGATGACAGGTGCCCCCACCACACCCAGCCTAATTTTTGTATTTTTAGTAGAGACGGGGTTTCACCATGTTGGCCAGGCTGGTCTCGAACTCCTGACCTCAAGCGAACAACTAGCATTTTTATAAACTACAGAAGACGGTGGCTATTCATCTGCCCCCTCTCTCCTGGGTATTTGCGTGTCAGGTGCAGAGATGGAGTCTTCTGAGGGCGCACATCACAGCGTAGACAGAAAGTTGAGGTTGTACATGCCGCAGGTTCCAGATGGAAATCACTAGTGCCTCCTCTTCTCTCTAATAGGCACACTAGACACAGCAGGTGCATTTTGGCGGTGGGATGAGGTCCGACAGTCACCTTTATTTTTTATTTATGTATTCATTAGTATTATTATTTTTTGAGACTGAGTCTTAAACTGTCACCCAGGCTGGAGTGCAGTGGCGGCATCTCGGCTCACTGCAACCTCCACTTCCCAGGTTCAAGGGATTCTCCTGCCTCAGCCTCCTGAGTAGCTGGGATTATAGGCGCCCATCACCATGCCCAGCTAATTTTTGTATTTTTAGTAGGGACGGGGTTCGCCATGTTGGTGAGGCTGGTCTCCAACTCTTTTTTTTTTTTTTTTTTTTTTTTGAGACGGAGTCTCGCTGTCTCCCAGGCTGGAGTTCAGTGCCTCAATCTCGGCTCACTGCAAGCTCCACCTCCCGTGTTCTCGCCATTCTCCTGCCTCAGCCTCCCCAGTAGCTGGGACTACAGGCGCCCGCCACCACACCTGGCTAATTTTTTGTATTTTTAGCCATGGGGTTTCACCATGTTAGCCAGGATGGTCTCAATCTCCTGACCTCGTGATCTGCCTGCCTCGGCCTCCCAAAGTGCTGGGATTACAGACATGTGCCACCACGCCTGGCTAATTTTTTGTATTTTTAGTAGAGATGGGGTTTCACCGTGTTGGCCAGGCTGGTCTCGAACTCCTGACCTTGGATGATCTGCTCGCCTCGGCCTCCCAAATTGCTGGGATGACAGACGTGAACCACCGTGCCTGGCCGACAGTCACCTTTAGAATGTGAACAGTGGACACTGTGTTGGGGTCTCCTACCTGTGCCTGTGATGTGGACTGGCCCATCTCGTCATGGACAAGGTGGGGAACCTTGACTCTGACCCCTGATTTTGGATGTTTCCTCGTGGAAAATAAATATAAACCCAGGGTAGAGTGTGTGAGACAAGCTGGATGCATCCTGTTTTTCTTTATTTATTTTTTTAAGTTGGAGTCTCGCTCTGTCGCCCAGGCTGGAGTGCAGTGGTGCAATCTCGGCTCACTGCAACCTCCGCCTCCTGGGTTCAAGCGATTCTCCTGCCTCAGCCTCCTGAGTAGCTGGGATTACAGGTGCATGCCACCATGCCCGCCTAATTTTTGTACTTTTAGTAGAGACGGGGTTTCACCATGTTGGCCCTGGTCTGGAACACCTGACCTCAGGTAATCTGCCTGCCTCAACCCCCCAAAGTGCTGGGATTGCAGGTGTGAGCCACCATGCCCAGCCAGATGCATCCTGTTTTTTAGCCCACTCAGCAAAGGTCTGTGCCTCACCCGTCTACTAAGCTGCTGCTCTCGGCATTGAAGAAAAAAAGGAGAGGGGGCCGGGCGCCGTGGTTCACTCCTGTAATCCCAGCACTTTGGGAGGCTGAGGCAGGCCGATCACCTGAGGGTCAGGGGTTCGAGATCAGCCTGGCCAATATGGTGAAACCCCGTCTCTACTAAAATTACAAAACTTTGCCAGGCTTGGTGGCGGGTGACTGTAGTCCCAGCGACTCGGGAGGCTGAGGCAGGAGAATTACTTGAACCCAGGAGGTGGAGGTTGCAGTGAGTCAAGATGGCACCACTGCACTGCAGCCTGGGTGAGAGAGTGAGACTCTAACTCAAAAAAAAAAAAAAGGAGTGGGGGAGATTCTCTGTCATTCCCTTCAAGCCAAGAGAGGGCATTGAGCCTCCTGGGCTGAAGCAAGGAGCAGTCTGCCCACTCATGTATAAGTTGAGTCACAGAGATGACATGGTTCTGAAGGACGGGTGAAGTAGATGGGTCTGGACTGTGAAGACGAACTGTCAGCGTTCATAGCACAGAAACCGGCTCGCGTCTGTCTGTGAGCCTCCGAGAGGCAGATTTGAGATGGCTTTCCTTTATTTATTTATTTATTTTTGAGACAGAGTCTTGCTTTGTCGCCCAGGCTGGAGTGCATTGGTCATCTTGGCTCACTGCAACCTCCGTCTCCTGGGTTCAAGCGATTCTCCTGCCCTCAGCCTCCCGAGTAGCTGGGATTACAGGCGCCCACGACCACACCCGGCTAATTTTTTTTTTTTTGTATTTTTAGTAGAGATGGGGTTTCACCATGTTGAGCAGTCTGGTCTTGAACTTCTGACCTCGTGATCCACCCGCCTCAGCCCCCCAAAGTGCTGGGATTACAGGCGTGAGCCACCGCGCCCGGCCTGAGACGGCTTTCCAAGGCTGCAGAAATGAAGTCTGCAATAGCAGATCCTCTTTGCCTGGGTTTGCACGTGATCCAGCAAACCACCCACCGACCCGTTGCCTCATGTGAGACATCCTCAGGGAACAGCAAGGTGAGCGTGCCGCAGGTACGAATCTCTGGTTGTGGCAAATGCGTCTTTTGCAAAAGCCAAACCTGGCCAGCTTTTTGCACCAAATGGTCAGAAAGTAGAATTGAAGAGAAGCGGGTGCTTCGAGACCTGAAGCACATTCTCCAGGATCGGTATTTGAAGTCTCGGACAGGGACCTTCTGCAGCCAGATCATTTCTTGCCATGTTTTCTTCTCAGTCCTCAGACTGGAGAGTTCAATCTTGAGCTTCTCAGGCTGGAGATGAGCGGTGGGTGAGTAGGATGAGGCTTGGCAACTTCTCTGCAGGGTCTGTCTGTTATCACCACTCGGGAAGTTTATGATCCTGCTAACACTAGTTTTTCATGCCTTTTTTTCTTTTTCTTTCTTTTTTTTTTTTGAGATGGAGTTTCGCTCTCGTTGCCCAGGCTGGAGTGTAATGGTGCGATCTCGGCTCACTGCAACCTCTGCCTCCTGGGTTCAAGCGATTGTCCTGCCTCAGCCTCCAGAGTAGCTGGGATTACAGGCATGTGCCACCACGCCCAGGTAATTTTTGTATTTTTAGTAGAGACAGGGTTTCACCATGTTGGTCAGGCTGGTCTCGAACTCATGACCTCAAGTGATCTACCTGCCTCGACCTCCCAAACTGCTAGGAGTATAGGGGTGAGCCACTGCCCCTGGCCTAATTCTTCACATCTGAATAAGGTCACACTTAACTTTCCCCGAGCTCTGTCTTTCCTGACTGAGTTAATGCTGGAGCCGTTAAAACCGAGAGAGCACATCCGTTCTCAGGCAGCATTTGCTAACTTCTTCAGAGCTTCATGGAATGTTCTGCCTTCTCAGGGCATGCTGTGGTTTGGTTTTCTCCTTTTTCTTCTCCTCCTCCTTCTTTCCCCCTCCTTCTTCTCTTCCTGTCTTCCTGTTCCTCTTTCTCCCCCTTCTCTTCTCCCTCCACTTCTCCTCCTCCTCCCCCTCCTTCCCTTCCCTCCTCCCCCTCCTTCCCTTCCCTCCTCCTCCTCCTTCCTCCTCCCCTTCATCCTCATCGTTCTCCTCCTCCTCTTCTCCCCCTCCTCCCCCTCCCCCTCCTCCTCCTCCCCCTCCTCCTCCTCCTCCTCTTCCTCTTCCTCCTCCTCTTCTCCTCTTCTTCCTCCTCCACTTTCTCTTCCTTTCCCCCACTCTTTTCCCTCCTCCTCCTTTCTTCTTATCCTGTTTCTCCTTCTCCCTCTTCTCCCTCCTCTCCTCCCTCCTTCTCTTTCTGCTCCTCCTCCTCGTTCTCCTCTTTCTCCCTCCTCTTTCTCCCTCCTCTTTCTCCCTCCTCCTCTTCTCCCTCCTCCTCTTTCTCCTCCTCCTCTTTCTCCTCCTTCCTCGTCCTCCTCTTCTCCCTCCTCCTTCGTCTCCCCCTCCTCTTCTCCCTCCACTTCCTCTTCCTTCCCCCTCCTTCCCCCCTCCCCCTCCTTCCCCCCTCCCCCTCCTCCTCCTCTTTCTCTCCCTCCTCTTTCTCTCCCTCCTCTTTCTCTCCCTCCTCTTCTCTCCCTCCTCTTCTCTCCCTCTTCCTCCTCCTCTTCCTCCTCCTCCCTCCTCCTCTTTCTCCCTCCTCCTCTTTCTCCCTCCTCCTTTCTCCCTCCTCCTCTTTCTCCCTCCTCCGCTTTCTCCCTCCTCCGCTTTCTCCCTCCTCCGCTTTCTCCCTCCTCCGCTTTCTCCCTCCTCCGCTTTCTCCCTCCTCCGCTTTCTCCCTCCTCCGCTTTCTCCCTCCTCCGCTTTCTCCCTCCTCCGCTTTCTCCCTCCTCCGCTTTCTCCCTCCTCCGCTTTCTCCCTCCTCCTCCTCCGCTTTCTCCTCCTCCTCCTCCTCCTCTTTCTCCTCCTTCTCCCTCCTCCCCACTCCTCTTTTTCAGAGAAGGTCTTGCTCTGTCACCCAGGCCGGAGTGCAGTGAGTACAATCATAGCTAACTGCAGCCTCAAACTCCTGGGCTCAAGCAATCCTCCCACCTCAGCCTCTCAAGTAGCTGGGACCATAGGCATGAGCCACCATGCCTGGCTAAATTTTTAAAATTTTTGTAGAGACAGAGTTTCCCTATATGTTGCCCAGGCTGGTCTCAAACTCCTGGCCTCCAGTGATCCTTCCATCTCAACCTCCCAAAGTGCTGGGATTACAGGCATGAGCCACCCTGCCTGGCCTATTACCTTCTTGTTTATCAAGTTACTTCTTTATATCTGAGGCTAGCTAGATACCTGGAATTTTCCATGTAGAAACTCAAGATTTTCCTTTATTTTCACACGTGAGTTCTGCAGGCCCCTAAAAAGAAGGGTCTCTGCTCCACCTCAGAGCCATGGTTTATAGAAAGATTGAGGACAAAACTTGGTGACCAGGACTCGGGCTGAACCTCCAGGCTCCGTGTCTGGGTCTACAGTTTCTCCTACAGCAGAAGGTTGAAGCATCCCTCATAAACCTGACTCTGAACTTGGGGCCCCCACGGAGCTGGGAAAAGCAGGCACAAGAATTGGGGGTGGCACTGGCACTTAGACCCAAGACAAGGGGAGTGGGAACTCTGAGCTTTGGCCATCATGCTTTGTTCTAAATTTCTTCCTGAGGACGGGCACGGTGGCTCACACCTGTCATCCCAGCACTTTGGGAGGCCGAGGCAGGCGGATCACGAGGTCAGGAGATCGAGACCATCCTGGCTAACACGGTGAAACCCCGTCTCTACTAAAAATACAAAAAAATTAGCCAGGCGTGGTGGCAGGTGCCTGTAGTCCCAGCTACTCGGGAGGCTGAGGCAGGAGAATGGCGTGAACCCGGGAGGCAGAGCTTGCAGTGAGCCGAGATCGTGCCACGGCACTCCAGCCTGGGTGACAGAGTGAGACTCCATCTCAAAAAATAAAAATAAAAAAAATAAATTTCTTCCTGAGGGTCCTGCAGAGAGTCACCCCACAAGCCAGTTAACATTTTAGTTCTGCTGACCCCAGATTTCTAAATAAGTCTTCCCTTCCTTAACCAATTACAAATCAGAAACATCTTTGAATCTACCTATGACCCATAAGCCCTCACTTCAAGACATCTCACCATTTTAGATTTAAACAGATGTATAACTTGCATGTATTTGCAAACCAAAAGGCCTCTGAGACAGGTCTTAACCTTGGCAAAATAAACCTCTACATTGATTAAGGACCATGGTCCATGACACAGCCTTAGAAGGTTCTGAGAACATGGGCCCAACATGGTTGGGTTACAGCTTAGTTTGTTTTTTTGTTTTTGTTTTTGTTTTTGTTTGTTTTTTGTTTTTTTTTTTTTTTTTGAGACGGAGTCCTGCTCTGTCGCCCATGCTGGAGTGCAGTGGTGCGATCTTGGGTTGCTGCAACCTCCGCCTTCTGGGTTCACACCATTCTTCTGCCTCAGCCTCCTGAGTAGCTGGGACTACAGGTGCCCGCCAGCTCACCTGGCTAATTTTTGTATTTTTAGTAGAGACAGGGTTTCACTGTGTTAGCCAGGATGGTCTCAATCTCTTGACCTTGTGATCCGCCCGCCTCAGCCACCCAAAGTGCTGGGATTACAGGCGTGAGCCACTGTGCCCAGCCTACAGCTTAGTTTTATACCTTTTAGGGAGACAGAAGTTACAGGCAGACACATAAATCAGCACATGGAAGGGACACATTGGTTTAGCTCAAAAAGAGGGGACAGGCTTCCAGGTCATAGGTGAATTTAAAGATTTCTTAGGCCAGGAATGGTGGTTCACACCTGTAATCCCAGCACTTTGGGAGGCCAAGTCAGGTGGAACAGTTGAGGCCAGGAGTTTGAGACCAGCCTGGACAACATAGCAAAACTCTGTCTCTACTAAAAATGCAAAAACAAAATTAGCTGGGTATGGTGGTACATGCTTGTAATCCCAGTTACTTGGGAGGCTGAGGCATGAGAATCACTTGAACCTGGGAGGTGGAGGTTGCAGTGAGCCAAGATTGCCCCACTGCACTCCAGCCTTGGTGACAGAGTTAGACTCTGTCTCCAAAAAAAAAAAAGAAGAAATGACTTCTTGATTGGCAAGTGCTTGAAAGGGTCAAGCTCTGCCTGCAAAGTTTGAAATCACGGGAGAGAAATGCTTGGGTTTAGAGAAAGGGGGCTGCAGAAGCCAAGGTTTTTGTTATGTAGATGAAGCCTCCAGATAGCAGGCTACAGAGGGAATGGATGGTGAACTTGTCCTATTGGGCGTTAACAGCTGTCAGAATCTCCAGAAAGGACCTTGTACATCTCTACAGAAGAAATGGCTTTGCAGGGCCATTGGGGTCAAATACTTTGATTCCTTCAAGGCCTGCTATCTGTCATGTAACGCTCTACCAGAGTCAAATCGGAGTTTGGGATCTCATTGCACAAAAAGTCTGGTCCATCTTAAACTCTCTGTTTTAAATGTTAATGCTGGTCAGTGGTGCCTAAACTTCCAAGGGAGGCAGGTCCAACCCCCATTTCCTGTCATGGCCTGAACTAGCTTCTCAGGTTGCTTTGAGAACCCCTTGGCCAACAGGGGACCCATTCAGTCCGTTGGAAACGTGAGAAGTGTATTTTTTTTTTTTTTTTTTTTTTTTGAGATGGAGTCTCTCTTTGTTGCCTAGGCTGGAGTGCAGTGGCACGATCTCGGCTCACTGCAACCTCCGTGTCCCGGGTTCAAGTGATTCTTCTGCCTCAGCCTCCCGAGTAGCTGGGATTACAGGCACGCCCCACCTCGCCTGGCTAATTTTTGTATTTTTAGTAGAGATAGGGTTTCACCATATTGGCCAAGCTGGTCTCGAACTCCTGAACTTGTGATCCGCCCCCTCCAAAGTGATTGGCCTCCCAAAGTGCTGGGATTACAGGCAGGAGCCACCGTGCCCAGCCACTGGGGTTACAGGCACGCACCACCTCGCCTGGCTAATTTTTGTATTTTTAGTAGAGAGGGGGTTTCACCATCTTGGCCAGGCTGGTCTCAAACTCCTGACCTCAGGTGATCCGCCCGCCTCGGCCTCCCAAAGTGCTGGGATTACAGGCATGAGCCCCCGTGACTGGCCAGAATTGTATTTTTTAATTTGGGTTTGTGTGTGTGTGTGTGTGTGTGTGTGTGTGTGTGTGTGTGTGACAGGATCTCTCTGTGGCCCAGGCTGAAATGCAGTGGTGCGATCTTGGCTCACTGCTGTTTCCACCTCCTGGGCCCAAGTGATCATCCTGTCTCAGCCTCCCAAGTAGCTGGGACCACAAGTGTGCAACACCATGCCTAGGTAATTTTTATATTTTCTGTAGAGACAGGGGTCTCACTATGTTGCCCAGGCTGGTCTCGAACTCCTGGGCTCAAGTGATCCACCCTCCTTGGCCTCTGAAACTGCTGGGATTATGGGCATGAGCCACTGCACTTGGCCTATTCTTTAAATTGTATGTGTGTCTGTGTGTGAGAGTTGGAGTCTCACTCTGTCGCCCAGGCTGGAGTAGTTCAGTGGTGTGATCTTTGGTCATTGCAACCTCCGTCTCCTGGGGTCAAGCGATTCTCCTGCCTCAGCCTCCTGATTAGCTGGAACTACAGGCATACATCACCATGCCTGGCTAATTTTTGTATTTTTAGTAAAGACAGAGTTTCACCATGTTGGCCAGACTGGTCTCAAACTCTGGACCTCAGGTGATCTGCATGCCTCGGCCTCCCAAAGTGCTGGGATTACAGGCATGAGCCACTGCATCTGGCCTATTCTTTAAATTTTTCTTGTGTGTGTGTGTGTGTGTGTGTGTGTGTGAGTTGGAGTCTTGCTCTGTCACCCAGGCTGGAATAGTGCAGTGGCACGATCTTGGCTCACTGCAACCTCTGCCTCCTGGGTTCAAGCGATTCTCCTGCCTCAATCTCCTGATTAGCTGGGACTACAGGCGTGTGCCACCATGTCTGGCTAATTTTTATATTTTTAGTAAAGACAGGGTTTCACCATGTTGGCCGGGCTGGTCTTGAACTCCTGACCTCAGGTGATCTGCCCGCCTCAGCCTCCCAAAGTTCTGGGATTACAGGCATGATCTACTGCATCTGGCCTATTCTTTAAATTTTTCTTGTGTGTGTGTGTGTGTGAGTTGGAGTCTTGCTCTGTCACCCAGGCTGGAATAGTGCAGTGGCACGATCTTGGCTCACTGCAACCTCTGCCTCCTGGGTTCAAGTGATTCTCCTGCCTCAGCCTCCTGATTAGTTGGGATTACAGGCGTGCGCCACCATGCTTGGCTACTTTTTGTATTTTTAGTAGAGACAGAGTTTCACCATGTTGGCCAGGCTGGTGTCGAACTCCTGACCTCAGGTGATCTGCCTACCTCGGCCTCCCAACATGCTGGGATTACAGGCCTGAGCCCCTGCACCCAGCCTATTCTTTAAATTTTGTGTGTGTGTATGCATGTTATTTTGGAGTCTTGCTCTGTCACCCAGACTGGAATAGTGTAGTGGCAGGATCTCAGCTCACTGCAACCTCTGCCTCCTGGGTTCAAGCAATTCTCCTGCCTCAGCCTGCTGATCAGCTGTAACTACAGGCATGCGTCACCATGCCCGGCTAATTTTTGTATTTTTAGTAAAGACTAAGTTTCACCATGTCGGCCAGGCTGGTCTCGAACTCCTGACCTCAGGTGATCTGCCTGCCTTGGCCTCCCAATGTGCTGGGATTACAGGTATGAGCCCCTGTACCCAGCTTATTCTTTACATTTTGTGTGTGTGCGTGTGATTTTGGAGTTTTGCTCTGTCGCCCAGGCTGTAATAGTGTAGTGGCACGATCTTGGCTCACTGCAACCTCTGCCTCCTGGGTTCAAGTGATTCTCCTGCCTCAGCCTGCTGATCAGCTGGAACTACAGGCACCTGCCACCATGCCCGGCTAATTTTTGTATTTTTAGTAAAGACCAAGTTTCACCATGTTGCCAGGCTGGTCTCGAACCTTGGACCTCAGGTGATCCGCCTGCCTTGCTTGGCCTCCCAAAGTGCTGGGATTACAGGCGTGAGCCACCGCGCCGGTGTAGTTAACTTTCCTTCTCCAAAGCTCTTGGCAGAATTCCAGGTAACTTATTTTATCCTAATGAAATAGACGACATAGCCCTTTGATGTTTGTATTGACTCCTGTCTCCCAGTGGAGAAAAATCACGAGGAAAAGAAAAGACAAAAATATTTACCCTTTAGGGTTCCCTTCATGTATCACAGTGACCTGCAGGGAAGCTCACATAAATGTAATTTAGAAAAGCTTCCTGTGGCCAGGCACGGTGGCTCTCGCCTGTAGTCCCAGCATTTTGGGAGGCCAAGGGGGGGTGGGGGCGGGGAACGGATCACGAGGTCAGGAGTTCGAGACCAGCCTGACCAACATGGTGAAACCCCATCTCTACAAAAAATTAGCTGGGCATGGTGGCGGGCGCCTGTAGCCCCAGCTACTCGGGGGGCTGAGGCAGGAGAATCGCTTGAACCCAGCAGGTGGAGGTTGCAGTGAGCCGAGATCATGCCATTGCACTCCAGCCTGGTGACAGAGGGAGACTCAGTCTCAAAAAAAGAAAAAAAAAAAAAAAGAAAAGCTTGTTGTGATCAATCAGATGTTTCCAATGATAACGAAAAAGCGACATCCACTGTTCACCTCGTGTTCACTCACCAGCTCACTCAACCCAAAGCACCGTCGTTTCTCAGGACGCACCATCCCATCATTTTTCCCGTAATTTCTCCGGTTAGTGTTGATTCGTGCTGTTAACATGCAAACCCACCTTACGTTCCTGCTTTACGGTTATGAATTGCAGTCTCGCTGTTCTTGGAAGGGACTTCCAGCCTGGAAAGAAAAGGGAGGGATAAGAGAGCATCTGTGGATCTTCCTGGCATATTCCTTCTCCTACAAGGTGAGCTCAAGAGCACAGAGCTTATCTCCACACAAGCAAACTCCCACTCTTCCTGTCATTGAACATAAGGAAGAAACAGGATTCTCCTCTTTTCTCAGTTGCATAAGCAAATCCTTATGCAAACATCTGAAGAGACATCAGAGAATCTTTGCCCGTGCCAGATGCCCTTCGGGGGACAGTCTGCGTCTGCTTTGCTTGGAGTAGCACAGGAGCTTGATGTGCCTGTGGAGAAGAGCATTGAGAGCTTGTTGGAAGGAAAATTGGTCCTGAAACTGCACAGGGCTACCCTAGGATTGGCTTATCAGGGGAGGCATATGTCCTGGTCCTGTAGGTCACAATCCTAGTGTTACTAAAAGGGCTCCCTCTCGGGTCAGGTGCAGTGGTTCACGCCTGTCATCCCAGCACTATGGGAGGCTGAGGCAGGCAGATCACAAGGTCAGGACATCGAGACCATCCTGGCTAACACGGTGAAACCCCGTCTTTACTAAAAATACAAAGAATTAGCCGGGCATGGTGGTGGGCACCTGTGGTCCCAGCTACTCCGGAGGCTGAGGCAGGAGAATGGTGTGAACCCAGGAGACAGAGCTTGCAGTGAGCCGAGATCACGCCACTGCACTCCAGCCTTGGGTGACAGAACAAGATTCCGTCTCAAAAAAGAAGAAAAAGAAAAAAAAAAAAGGGTCCCTCTCCAGACCCCAAGAGAGGGTTCTTGGACCTCAGGCAAGAAAGAATTTGGGGCAAGTCCCTAGACTAGAGTGAAAGCAAGTTTCTTAAGAAAGTAAAGGAATAGGCTGGGCGCAGTGGCTCATGCCTGTAATCCTAACACTTTGGGAGGCCAAGGCGGGTAGATCACTTGAGGCCAAGAGTTCGAGACCAGCCTGACCAACATGGTGAAACCCTGTCTCTATTAAAAATACAAAATCAGCCGGGTGTGGTGGCACATGCCTGCAAATCCCAGCTACTTGGGAGGCTGAGGCAGGAGAATTGCTTGAATCCAGCAGGTGGAGGTTGCAGTGAGCCAAGATGGCGCCACTGCACTCCAGCCTGGGCAACAAGAGTGAATCTCCATCTCAAAAAAGAAAAAGTAAGTAAAGAAATAAAGAATAGCTACTCCATCGCAGAGCAGCCCTGAGGGCTGCTGGTTGGATATTTTTGTGGTTGTTTCTTGATGGTATGGTAAACAAGGTGGATTATTGATGAGTTTTTCTGCACAGTGGAGGAGATTTCCCAGAGTGAAGGGTTCCTCCCCCTTTTAGACCATACAGGGTAACTTTGAGTCATGGCCATGGCATTTGTAAACTGTCCTGGCGCTGGTGGGAGTGTCTTTGAGCATGCTAACACGTTATAATTAGTGTATAAAGAGCAGTGAGGATGACCAGAGGTTGCTCTCTTTGCCATCTTGGATTTGGTGGGATTTGTCCGGCTTCTTTACTACAACCTGTTTAATCAGCAGGGTCTTTATGGCCTGTATCTTGTGCCGACCTCCTATCTCATCCTGTGACTTACAATGCCTAACCTCCTGGGAATGCAGCCCAGTACGTCTCAGCCTCATTTTACCCAGCTCTGTATTCAAGATACATTCACTCTGGTCCCAACGCCTCTGACACTACGTTCCAGGGATTACGGCATGAACATACTGTTTTCAGGACCCTATCTAGCCCACCATGGTAAGGAAACACCCAACAAACATCATGCTTATTAAGTTTCCAGGCAGGTGCCTCTCTATCCCAGCTTCATTGTTGTGTTCTTTTCTTCACAAGTATTTTCAGAGCTGCCCTTGGCCATCTGGAAGATGCATGGTGAAAGAAACGGATGCTTGCTCTCAGCACACACTTCCTTCCCTGACAGTTTGTCGCCTAGCAGCTATTTTGGCTTCCCAAGGGAAATCTTGTCCTTTGCCCTTGTGGGGCTTACTGCAAATCAACTCATCATGAGGAAGATTAATCAGAGAAAAGACATACAATTTTTTTTTTTTTTAAACTGTGAGCATGAAGAGAATCACAGAGTGTATACTCAATCTCCCAATGGGGGCAAAATACTTCTGTAACCTCCTTTCAGGTGGCGAGAGGGGACATGGGAATGTAGGTAATTCTGTTGAGTGGTAATAAGTGATGACTAGGAAGATTGAATGGATACTTGGGAGAATGAATAGGGGGAGGAAACAGAGATTGACTTATTAATGGTTCCCTTTGGAAATTAAATACTCCTTGGAGACCAGTCATTACTTTGTAAAAAAGTCTGTTTGAGCGGGCTTACATCTTAACGTTCTTTCCTGTAGTCAAGAAGAAGATCCCAGGGAGGGAGGGAAAGTGAATTGTAATAATCCCGACATGTTCAGGGAGGGACCCTGTGGGAGGTCATTGAATGATGGGGGGCAGGTGCTTCCTGTGTTGTTCTTATGATAGTGATTAAGTCTCACAGGATCTGATGGTTTTATAAAGCCAGGTTCCGCTGCACATGCCCTCTTGCCTGCCGCCATGGAAGATGTGCTTTTTCTCCTCCTTTGCCTTCCGCCATGATTGTGAGTCTTCCCCAGCCATGTGGAACTGTGAGTCCATTAAACCTGTTTCCTTTATACATTACCTAGTCTTGGATATGTCTTCATTAGCAGCGTGAGAACAGACTAATACAGAACGGAAAAAAAAAATGTTTTACTTGGTGGATGTCTCTGGTTTTTATGTCAATGGGGAAAAGTCCCTTCCAAGGTCTTTTAATCTTTAAGGGTTTTTAATTTAAAATATTCGTTTTGCAAAGGAGCCATATTTTGGGGTGAAATTATCTGTACAGAGCCAGTAATTCATCACAGAGGAGATAATTCTGTTTTATCAGAGACTGACCAAGAGCTATGTTGATCTTGTGAATTTGGGAGATTACCCTTTGCTCAGCTGATGTTCAAGGAAGGCAACGGCTTTGGGAAAAAGTTCAATATGTATCCGTGAAACTGCTAACCTTTGGGAGTTACCGTAGTTTGGATATGGGTTATTTGTTCCCACCAAATGTCATGTTGAAATTTGATCTCCAGTGTTGGAGGTGGGGGTAGTGGGAGATGTTTGGGTCCTGAGGGTGGTTCCCTCCTGAATAGATTAATGCCCTCCCTCAGGGCTGAGTGAGTTCTCACTCTATCAATTCCCTCAAGAAATGCTTGTCAGAAGAGTCTGGCACCTCCAACCCGTCTCTCTTTCTTCCTGTGTCTCTGTGTGATCTCTACACACTGGCTCCCCTCTGCCTTCCGTCATGAGTGGAAGCTCCTTGAGGTCCTCAAGATCCTTCTTGAGAAGAAGATGCTGGTGCTAAGCTTCTTGTACAGCCTACAGAACTGTGAGCCAAATGAACTACTTTATAAAATACCCAGCCTCAGGTGTTCCTTTCTGGCAACATAAAATGGACTAAGACAGGGCCCCATACTCATAGCTACCTTTTCATGTAGGGCTGAAATGAGGAGAGGAGGACACAGACACACACAGATGGAAGACCCTGTGAGTTCTCAGGGAGAAGATGGCATCTACAAGCCAAGGAGAGAGGCTGCAGGAGGAAGCAGCCCTGCAATGCCTTGATCTCAGACTTCCAGCCTCCAGAACTCTGGGAAATAAATACCTATTGTTTAAACGACCTGGTCTGTGGTCCTTTGTAATGGCGGCCTTAGCCAACTAATATACTCCTCAAAAGCCTGACACATATGCTCATTTGGAGATTTGGGAGATGTGCTTGGAAATGACATGATTGAAAGTCTACCAGGCATTTCACATCAATCGTTCCGTCATCCTCTCCAAACCTCGGGGATGGCTTGTCTTTCTCTCTTGTAAAAATCACTTCTCCCTTCTGACCACATAAATATTCCAGACAACAGACTCTTCGGAAACAAGTGCTCACACTTCGGTCCTCTGTTAACTCTCTTCCTAAAGACACCAGACACTGGGGGAGAGATCGGGGCTGGAGGGGTGACTGACTGACAAAAGCGAGACTGTAGGAGCAGAGACATGTCGGATGGGTTTTACAGGTTTCCTGGAGCAACAGCTCTTATTCTGGGCTCCTGGGGTTGCCAACTGCCTGTTATGGGCCAAATTGTGTCCGTCTCCAATTTTATACATGGAAGTCTTGATCCCCAGGACTTCAGACTGTGACTGTGTTTGGAGATGGGGTCTTTAAAGAGGTGATTAAGGCACAATGAGGTTATTAGGGTGAGCCCTGCTCCTATAGCTATGGTATCTTTACAAGAAAAGGAGATGAGGACACAAACACACACAGAGGGATGACCCTGTGAGGACACAGGGAGAAGACAGTGTCTCCAAGCCCAGGAGAGAGGCCTCAGGAGGAACCAGCCCTGCCCACACCTGGATCTCAGACTTCCAGCCTCTAGGACTGTGGGAGAATCAATGTCTGTTGTTTATAAGCCACCGAGTCTATGATATTCTGTGATAGCAGCCTGAAATGGACTAAGACATCCCATAAGAAGAAGAGACGAGGACACAGACACACACACAGGGATGACCCTGTGAGGACACAGGGAGAAGACAGTGTCTCCAAGCCCAGGAGAGAGGCCTCAGGAGGAACCAGCCCTGCCCTCACCTGGATCTGGGACTTCCAGCCTCCAAGACTTGGGAGAATCAATGTCTGTTGTTTATAAGCCACTAAGTCTATGGTATTCTGTGCTAGCAGCCTGAAATGGACTAAGACATCCCATAAGCAGAGGAGATGAAGATTCAGACGCACACAGAGGGACGACCCTGTGAGAACACAGGGAGAAGACAGTGTCTACAACCCCAGGAGAGACGCCTCAGGAGGAACCAGCCCTGCCCACACCTTGATCTCAGATTTCTAGCCTCCAGGACTGTGGGAAATAAGTATATATTGTTTAAGTCACCCAGTCTGTGGTGATTTGTTATGGAGGCTTTAGCCAAGTAATATACTCCTCAAAACCCTATTTCTATTGGGAGATTTCTATTGGAAGGAAGATTCAGAGTGCAAATTTGTAGTATCCCTGCTGATCTATCTCCTAAATGAAACACATCATTCCCAAGCACTTGTCTTTGTGCGAAGATCCATTTTGCAACCAACCATATATAATGTGTGAGGCCTTTTCACAAGACTGGCTTAATTAAAAATTCACATCCTCCTGACATCTTAAATATAAGAGCAGTAAGATATGCAGCTTTAACAGTTTGTAGTGGCTGGGATTTTGAGGAGGGATGTTTTGTCGTTAGCTTGGGAAAATAGGTTCTACTGACATCTGTTCAGCTTAGCTATTATTGTTCTTTTTTGTTACAGAAGTAAAACGGGGAATTTTTTAGAAACACGTCAATTACCTTTGATTTTGTGTCATATACAGAAGGGAATGTTTTTATTCCTGCAAACCCCATAAAAGCCAGTGATGCATTTTCATAGCCCTCTCTTGGCAGAAAACTGCCTTTGAAATTTCTGGATCAAGAACGTATTATTTTCTGATGGCTTTTTTTTTTTTTTTTTCTGGTGATGTATCTCAAAAGCTTCAACTTTTCCCCTCCTGTTAGCAGAATACAGGTGAGTAGTAAAGTACGAACCATTTTTTATTTTCTTCTTACAGTAGAATTTTTTCATCGCTTACAAATATAGGTGCCCCTGGCTTCAGAGAATCACACTTTTCCATGCCACTAAATTCAGACACCACCAAGGACTGTGAATTTGAGCAGAAGTGAGGTGTGTCACTTCCTCCCAGAAGCCTGGGTCGTGGTTGCCCTTGGAGAACATAATTTTTTGAAAATATTTATTTTACTTTAAGTTCTGGGATACATCTGCAGAACGTGCAGGTTTGTTATACTGGTGTACATGTGCCATGATGGTTTCCTGCACCTATCAACCCATCATCTAGGTTTTAAGCCCCACGTGCGTTAGGTATTTGTCCTAATGTTCTCCCTCCCCTCACCCTCAACCCCCTGACAGGCCCTGGTGTATGATGTTCCCCTCCCTGTGTCCATGTGATCTCATTGTTCAACTCCTACTTATGAGTGAGAACATGTGGTGTTTGGTTTTCTGTGTCTGTGTTAGTTTGCTGAGAATGATGGCTTCCAGCTTCATCCATGTCCTTGCAAAGGACATGAACTCATTCTTTTTTATGGCTGCTTAGTAATTCATAGTATATATGTGCCACATTTTCTTTATCCAGTCTATCATTGATGGGCATTTGGGTTGGTTCACTGTTTTTGCTATTGTAAATAGTGCTGCAATAAACATACGTGTGCATGTGTCTTTATGGCAGAATGATTTACAATACTTTGGGTATTTGCGCAGTAATGGGATTGCTGGGTCAAATGGCATTTCTGGTTCTAGATCCTTGAAGAATTGCCCCACTGTCTTCCACAATGGTTGAACTAATTTACACTCAACAGTGTAAAAGCGTTCCTATTTGGAGAACATCTTTTGTTCTCTCTCTCCCTCCCTGAGAGTGGAAGTATTCCAGAACAGGGCTGCTTTATCCCCCTGGGTCCTAGTCTTAAGATGACAAATAGTGAAGCCCCCATTGGTGAGCAGGTGGTATGGGTGAGAAACAGACTTTGGTGATGTTAGCTGCTGAGATTCTGGGATTGTTTGTTATAGCAGCATCACCTGGTCTGTCCTGACTAATACACATATTGACAATTTACTTTTCATCGAATTACTTTGTTGAGCTGTGTGTTAATAGAATGAAAACGCTGCTTTGTGCAAAAAACACTAGCTAATAATATAGACCCTTAGTTCCACGAGCATTTTCTACCTTGTATTCCTTGGTGCAAGGACTTAACAAATCATTTGGCACTTGTACAAGAGCATTCATATAAAGAGGCAGCAGCTTAATTTTGCTTGTTTCCCAAGCAATGTGTTCAGGGAGGTCTAGACACAGAGTGGACAGATGAAGGAAAATGACCCAATGAAGACATTTTCCAGGACATGTTCCCTGGCTGTGCTGTAGGGGTGACCACATTTTAGTCTAGTAAGGTTAAAGATCAGAGCTGAATACTGCTGAAACTTGAGCGTCCTAAAAATTCCCTGTTAAAGGTATCCCATGGAGAGATCCAGGTCTCACTACATGATTTGAAAATGGTCTTATTTGGAGGAATCAAATTAATCAGCTCACAACAAGATGCTTGTATACTTGTGGTGTTGAGACCTCAGTGATGGATACCTTTTTGTTTTTTCTTTGAGACAGAGTCTTCCTCTGCTGCCCATGCTGAAGCGCAGTGGCAATCACATAGCTCACAGCCCCCTTGAACTCCTGGGCTCAAGATATCCCCTCAACTCAGCCTTCTGAGTAGCTGGAACCACAGCTCTGTGCCACCACAGCTGGCTGATATTGTAATGCTGAGATCTTCATCTGTACAAAAAAAATAAAAAATAGCCAGGTGTAATGGTGCACACTTGTAGTCCCAGCTACTTTGAAGGCTGAGGTGGGAGGATTGTTTGAGCCTAGGAGTTTGAGGCTACAGGGAGCCATGATTGCACCCACTGCACTCCAGCCTGAGCAACACAGTGATGTTGCCCAGGCTGGCCTTGAACTCCTGACCTCAAGCAATCCTCCCACCTTGGCCTCCCAGATTGCTGGGATTACAGGTGTGGGCCATCGCACTCAGCCGGTGTTGAATACTTTCCGATGGCAGGTTGAGAAGACATGACTGGTAGAAGAAAAATGTTCCTAGGGCCAACCACATGGGGGCAGACTTTGTTGGGGCACCATGGCAACAGTTCCCAGTGGCAGGACCTGACGTTTCAGGAGCTAGGGAAAAGGGAGGCCATGGAATACAGGTTGAGACGTGGTAAGGACAGTCCCAAATGTTGCCTACCCCAGTTTTGTTCAGCAAAAGTCTCAGTCGTTGATTCCTTTTGTGGGCTGAAGGTATAATTCGGCTTTTTCTGCCCAATATGATGTTTGTGAGATTCATCCATATCATCCAGATGTAGGAGCCTCCTGGATTTGGAGCCTCCTGGATTTTACAGCTCAGGGTACCTTGGGGAACTGGAGGCAGAGCTTACTCTTGTTAATAACTAAAATCATAACAGTGATAGTTGACATTTACCCAGCTCTTGCAGTGTCTAAGGGGCTATCCCAAGAGCTTCCTTTATGTGCGTTGCCTCGTTTAATTTTACAGCCTTCTCATCATGGTTACACCATTATTATCTGAAGTTACAGGTGCACCAACTGAGACCTAGAGGGTTTCAGGACTAGCTGTGCATGCCTGGAAAAGTTTATGACAGTTCTGGGTTTGCAGCTTCAGTCAGTGTGGCTGAGAGCTTGTAATCACCAGGCTTCTGCCCACAGGAAGCAAGCAGGGTGAGGATGGACTGGGTTCCTGGTTATCTTGATTCTGATTCTTTGATAGTAATTAGACACACATGTAGCTGAGGTGCCATCAGCCCTGTTGTTTCCTGAGGTAGCTTTGATGCTGATGGTAGGGTCGGCTTTTCAACTGTGCCTTTGCAGCCCTTGGAATAAATTTCATTGTAGGAAGCACTGAGTCACCATCTTCAAAGCAGGCAGCAAAGACCTTCAGAGCTGCTCCAGGGAACGCAGACAGCTCAGCTAAGTTTGTTTACCTTCTGGAAATGTCAGATTTGGAGGTTCATTGCATTTGTCAGGGGAGCAACGTGCCTCTGTTGACATCGCCTCACCCTGCCGTGCAGCTATGCTTCTCTTCTCTGCTCCTGAAGGTCTCAGACAGCCAGGCTGCAGTCCAAGTGTCACCCCTTAATTTCAGCAGGCAGGCTGTTCTCCCGTGTCAGGGAACAACCTGAGTTTCAGAAAAGTGTCAATTTTGTGCTGCCGAGGAAGAATTTGGGCTTAGGCAAATGGTAAGGTCATAGCAGATGCAAGCCCCAAATTTAGTTCCGAATCGTGTTTTAATTATGATTTCAGGCAAATGTAACACATTGAAATATGTGACAAGTATAAATGTAGTCATACCACCTACATTGGGGAATGACTTGTCCTGCAGCATTTTGGGGTGGGGAAGAGGGAAATTCCCAACATTGTGTTAAAATAATATCCTACATAAGAATACAGAATTAATCAACTGAAATGCTAGATTTGTTTTGGTTTTACTCCAAAGACTAGTTAGACATACTCATGACACAAGAGTCACATAGTCTACTTTTGAGACTTAAAGAGAGAAACTAGAAGCTCAGAAAGCAGACTTTGGCGTTAAGCACTGGGTAAGTGGGAAGAACAGGGAGAAGAATGAGTTTCTATCCTTCATCCGTCTTTGTTCTGCTGCCTGTAAGCCCAGTTCATCTGTTGTTGTTGTTTTTTTCCCAAGGGGATCCGGTACCGAATGCAGCATCTACCAACCACAGGCACTGGATGTAACTATGCTTTGGTGAGCTTTCTTCTTGGGAAAACATGAAGAAATCACAGGCATTATTACTGTGTCTGCGAGTGTTGCTGGCAGGGCTGGCGGTCTCTGTTTTAATTCGCTTAATTGTGCACTAAAGCTTATCTTTTCCTTGCTGGTGCTTGTCCTTAGTTTATCACGCGAGGGAATTAAGATTCATTGGTTGGCCGGGTGCGGTGGCTCATGCCTGTAATCCCAGTACTTTGGGAGGCCGAGGCAGGCGGATCACGAGGTCAGGAGATCGAGACCATCCTTGCTAACACGGTGAAACCCCGTCTCTACTAAAAATACAAAAATTAGCTGGGCATGGTGGTGGGAGCCTGTAGTCCCAGCTACTCAGGAGGCTGAGACAGGAGAATGGCGTGAACCGGGGAAGGCAGAGCTTGCAGTGAGCTAAGATTGCACCACTGCACTCCAGCCTGGGAAACAGAGCAAGACTCCATCTCAAAAAAAAAAAAAAAAAAATTCATAGGTAAGGAATGCGTGGAGGGCTCTTTTATAACGTATCAATGCACAGCATAGATGGAAAGCATTCTTAGATCAAAAGAGCATGCCCAGGTTATTTCCCCAAATGAAACTACCCATAAACAGACTGAGATCCAGATGGTGACTCACCACTAGCAGCTCCCTGGAGAGCTCCACACACGCCTGCTGACAGTCACCATCCCTCTGCTGCCATCACGGTCTTCTAACGCTGCTGGTAGTTTTGAACATTTTCATACTTCATGCAAATACATCATATAGAGTAGGTGATTTTGGGGGTTCAGGGTATAATTCAGCCTTTTCTGCCTAAGATGATGTTTGTGAGATTCATCCATGTCATGGCGTGTCAATATAGCTGTTTCATTGTCAACGACGTTTAGCATTTTCTTGGGTCAACACATCGAGACTTATTGATCCACTCTGCTGCTGATGGGCATTTCAGAAGTTTCCCATTTGCAGATACTGTCAATCAGGTACCTGGGAGCACTCTCGTCCATAGCATTTGTGACATATCTGTGGCTTGCTAGGGAATTTCTACCCGGGGTGGACTTAGCACACCGGGGTCTGGAGGACTATTTTGAAAAGAATGCTGGAAATTCGGTGAAAAGAGGGAGTGACTGATGACAAAAATCCTCCTATGGCAAAGAAGGTGGTAGTGGGCAGAATCTTCTACAGAGATCATCTCACTCTTCATGCACATCCCCACTAAACTTAGGAGAAACTTGAAAAGGGAAGAAATCTTTGCCCAAGGTCACTGTTGGTAAAAACCTAAGATCCTTCCTCCTTCCCTGGATGGCTTGTATTCTAACAGAAGCTCAGATAAATTCTGAAGTAAAGGGTTGGTATTTGATTGAAACCGATTTTGACATGATTTGTGAGTTTTTAAACCTTCCCAGGGGCATTCATTACCTTAAAATTCTAAAAGAAATTCAGGGCCATCTTAAAAGAGCTGATGGTTATAGACAAATCAGGCCATCTAGCAGAAGCATGAAAGAATGGATGTAAAATGAAACTCACCTATAGACAAATCAGACCCTCTAGCAGAAGCATGAAATAATGGATGTAAAATGAAACTCACCTATAGACAAATCAGGCCCTCTAGCAGAAGCATGAAAGAATGGATGTAAAAATGAAACTCACCTATAGACAAATCAGACCCTCTAGCAGAAACAGGAAAGAATGGATGTAAAATGAAACTCACCTATAGACAAATCAGGCCATCTAGCAGAAGCATGAAAGAATGGATGTAAAAATGAAACTCACCTATAGACAAATCAGGCCCTCTAGCAGAAGCAGGAAATAATGGATGTAAAATGAAACTCACCTATAGACAAATCAGGCCATCTAGCAGAAGCATGATAGAGGATGTAAAATGAAACTCACCGTGGCATACTGGAACACTCACTATCTTAGTCTGTTTTTTGTTGCTATGACCGAATACCTAAGACTCGGTAATTTGTAACGAAAAGAAATATACTTATGACAGTTCTGGAGGCTGGGAAGTCCAACAATGAGGAGCTGCATCTGGTGAGGACCTTCTTGCTAGTGGGGACTCTCTCTGGAGAGTTTTGAGATGGGGCAGGCCTCCGAGAAAAACAACCTGGCTTTTGATCACAGACCTGCTCTTCTGATAACTAACCCACACCTTAGATAACTCATTAATTGATTAATTCATGAAGGGATTAATCCATTCACGAGGGCAGAGCCTCATCTAAACACTCTTACATTGGGGACCCAGCCTCAACATGACTTTTGGTAAGGGCAAACCATATTCTAACCATAGCACTTACAAACCATCTGCTTATGTTGAATTAAATTTAGGTGGTTGAATACACACTCAGAGCTGTGACTCTTCGGTTTGATTTATCTCAGAAAGCTCTCAAAGTCCTCATGCTCTACTGAGCCCTCTCAGTATAGGTGGCATTTGCTACATAGCTGGACACTGAAGTTGGCAGCTGAACTTGGCTAGCAACAGGAGAGACTGATGGGTTAGAGTCGTTATGAATTAGTACTATTTTACATTTGTTAGAAAAAAATTGCAAAACTGAACTATTATTATTAATCTTATCATTATTTTGAGAGGGGGTCCTGCTCTATTGCTCAGGCTGGAGTACAGTGGTGCAATCGTAGCTCACTGCAGCCTCAAACTCCATACTGCAGCTCTGACCATACCACGGCTCCGACCACAGCACAGCTCTGACTATACCCCAGCTCTGACTTTACTGTAGATTGGACTATACTGCAGCTGAGACCATATTGCAGCTCCTGCCACAGCACAGCTCCAATCATACCGCAGCTCTGACTGTACGGCAGCTCTCAGCATAGCACAGCTCTGACTATACCGCAACTGTGACCATACCTCAGCTCTGACCATAGCACAGATCTGGCCATAGCACAGCTCTGACTCTACCGTAGCTCTCACTATGCTGTAGATCTCGCTATCCTGGAGCTCTAATCATACCACAGCTCTGAGCATAGCACAGCTTTGAGCGTATCTCAGCTCTGACTGTACTGCAGCTGTGATCATACCGCAACTCTGACCATATCTCAGCTCTGACCATAGTGCAGGTCTGATTGTGCCACAGCTCTGACCCTACTGTAGATCCGACTACACTTCAGCTGTAACCATCCTGCAGCTCTGTGCAGACCTTACATCTGATCTTGCTTCAGCTTTGACCATCCTGCAGCTCTGACCAGACCCCACGCAGTGCTCATCTCACTGCACATCTGACTGCTGCAGCTCTAACCATGCCGCAGGAAGTGAAGGAGACGAGAGAGAGAACTAAGGCTGCAATGCTGTTTGCATAGCTTGTTGGCACGGCCGCCAGGAATCTTGGATCCAAAGTTAGGAGTGCTGCTGCTGCTTCTCCCAGGGATGGGTCTGCCTCAGTATCCCTGCAGAGTCAGTCCTGGGGTGTTGGGGCAGCCGTGCACATGTGGTCTCTGTGGCCGGTGTTCCAGTGGGTTTCAGAGCAGTGGCTGAAACTGTCAATGAAACCCCCAATGTCTGACATCTCAGGAGGCTTCTCAGGTCTCCCACATGGCAGCTTTTTTTTTTCCTCTTTAAAATAAAAACTTTTTTTCATCCTTCACTAAGAAATAGCATTTCCCTATACACCTGACCTCAGCAATGTACACCGTACCAAATAATTACAAATGGTAAGTGCTTTTGTGAAAAGATAATCAACATGCCAGATAAGGAAAGAAATACAACATTAAAAAAAAAGAGGCCATAATTGTCCATACATTTGGCAAACATACAAAGAAAATGGACAATACTGACACGTTTCAGGGTATCGGGCAAAAGGATTCTCTGTTAAGGGTGGAAACTGGTAACATCAACTCTAGATGGCCCATTTACACATTATTTGGAGAGATTAAAAAAGTACCCATCCATTGAACCAGCAATTCAATGTGTAGGAGTGTAGCCTGCAGGTCGCAGGTGCACAAAGACTGTGTAAAGGGAATTGGCTGCAAAAAGGTATTTATTTGCAAAACACTGGGAATGAGTTGGAATCAATTTATAGGTTGATGGTTAAGGGTTATGTACAGTTGTTGGTTGCCAGCAAGAGAAACAGACTCTAGTTGATTGAAGAAATTTAATAGATATCGGGCAGGTCAGATAAAGGATGAGAAGATTAGGGAATTATAAGTAGAACCCCATGAAGGCTGGTGGATAAGAAGTCCATGTGTATACCTGCCATGCCCCAGTTATACACAGCCTGCTTAGGACACAGCTTTGTTGAATTACCTGTAGACCCCAGACTCTGTTGAAGCATTCTTGCTTCCATCACGAATAACTACTGAACTTTTTTTGTTTTGTTACATCCTTCCCTCAGAATTTTGAAGGTCCCTGATAAGACATCTTTGAGGTCAGGCATAAATCATCACTTCACATCTTGACGGCAATGCAACGAAGACAAGTATCTGTCTCTTTGGGTCTGTCTAACAAGGAGCAAAGCCTGGCCTCCCACCAGCATCCAGACAATAGTGGATTCCCTCTCCATAGATGTCAAAAAAGAAACAGATGCTCCCGCAGGTGAAATGAGCTCTGGTCCACAATGCAACGCAGGCTGTGCAGAAAATCAAAGAGGAACCAACCCAGAAGTATCCCCCAGGACAAATCATTAAGGGGGAAAAGGCAAGTGGTACAACCCTTTATTTTATGATTCTACTAGGAAAAAAAATAGCGGCATTCCTTAAAATATTGAGATAACTGGCAGGTAGAATGAACCAAAAACTATTAACAGGGGTTCCCAGGAGAATGGAGGACAATTGAAACAGGGTGTGAAGCGGAGAGGCATAATTCGTTCTAGTGATCCTGTCATTCTCGCCTTTCCAATGATACTATATTGGTGAATGCATTGCCCAGATAACATTTAAAAAGGTTTTAAGTGGCTGGGCACGGTAGCTTATGCCTGTAATCCCAGCATTTTGGGTGGCTGAGGCAGGTGGATCACCTGAGGTCAGGAGTTTAAGACCAGCCTGGCCAACATGGAGAAACCCCGTCTCTACTAAAAATACAAAAAAATTAGCTGGGCGTGGTGGCACATGCCTGTAATTCCAGCTACTTGGAAGGCTGAGGTACGAGAATCACTTGAACCCAGAGGGCAGAGGTGGCAGTGAGCCAAGATCGTGCCATTGCACTCTAGCCTGGGCAACAAGAGCAAAACTCTCTCTCAAAACAAAACAAACAAACAAAAAGATTTAAAGTGGCCGGGTGTGGTGGCTCACGCCTGTAATCCCAGCATTTTGGGCGGCCGAGGCAGGCGGCTCACCTGAGGTCAGGAGTTCAAGACCAGCCTGGCCAACATAGAGAAACCCTGTCTCTACTAAAAATACAAAAATTAGCTGAGCCTGGTGGTGGGCAACTGTAGTCCCAGCTACTTGGGAGGCTGAGGCAGGAGAATCCCTTGAACCCGGGAGGCGGAGGTTGCAGTGAGCTGAGATCTCGCCACTGCACTCCAGCCTTGGAGACAGAGTGAGACTCTGTCTTAAAATAAATAAATAAATAAATAAATGCAATCTGTCTTAAAATAAATAAATACATAAAAAAGTTTAAAACATGTTTAACAAGCATGAATACATATATATGGTCATGTGAGAGTGAGTATACAAGCAGATAATGGTCTGGCCATCTACATAGATAAAACTCTGACCCACAACCTGCCAAGAAAACCAACCCCTTATCCACTGTAACCAGCGCAGGAAGTCACCTGCTGTGTACAAGTCAGACATGCAGGATGTCAGATTACTATCTCCAGCAAACAGTCCAGGAAGGCAAACAATATCTTCAGGCACCATGGGCCCTAAACAAGATTTGATTCATAACCACCAGATTTCCTAATGTTTGCCCCTGATTTAAAATTAGATGGCTGGCCGTGGTGGCTCACACCTGTAATCCCAGCACTTTGGGAGGCCGAGGCGGGCAGATCACGAGGTTAGGAGATTGAGACCATCCTGGCTAACATGGTGAAACCCCATCTCCACTAAAAATACAAAAAAAAAGTAAACTGGCATGGTGGCAGGTGCCTGTAGTCCCAGCTACTTGGGAGGCTGAGGCAGGAGAATGGCATGAACCCGGGAGGCGGAGCTTGCAGTGAGCAGAGATCATGCCACTGCACTCCAGCCTGGGTGACAGAGCGAGACTCTGTCTCAAAAAAAAAAAAAAAAAATTAGAAAGCTGAAGAGACACCGTCCTAACCAATCCCAGGGGTGCCCCACTTCTCATGAGCCTCCTACAGCTTTAGAATGTGGACAGCCTCTAATTAGGGCATGCCTGCAGTCTTCCTGATTCTCCTATCTGGGGTTCCTGCTTTTACATTTTTGCTAAATGCAAGGGACGGTGGCTGCCTCCCTTGGTATAGCAAGCCCTGGATAAATCGTTTCTTCTTGCTCGCTGTTGGGTGAGCTTCTATTATTTCCATAGTGACCAGTCATCATCACCTTGTCATCAGCAGCATGTCAATGTAGCGTGGAAAGTGGGGCTGGTGGATGGAGATGTCTTTTGCAGAGCCAGGGATTCCACGTGGAGCATTTACATTGGGACATTCACTGTTGAGGGTGCTTCCCCTCTCCCCTGCAGACCACCCCCACCAAGGGTCAACCCAAGACCCCCAAGCTCACTTTCTTTCCTCCAGGTCTTCACTCTGATGTCAAGTCGTTTCATCTCTCTGAGTTCCTCTTTCTTTATTTGCTAGAAAGGGATCCTGCCCTCCCTTTCCTATGACTCTTAGGTTTGTTCTGTGATAAGGTGATTCAAGGGGTAGACACTGCTTCATAAGCTGACCCACAGTGACTGCTGGAAATGAAAGAGGTTGGCTGGGCTCAGTGCTTCATGCCTGTAGTCCCAGCACCTTGGAAGGCCATGGTGGGAGCATTGCTTAAAGCTGGGAGGATCGTTGGAAGCCTGGGCAACATGGCAAGACACTCATCTCTACAAAAATAAAAATAAATTATCCAGGTGTGGTGGTGTGTGCTTGTAGTCCCAGCTACTCTGACGGCTGAAGTAGGAGAATCCCTTGAGCCTAGGTGTTTGAGACTGCAGTGAGCTAGGATTGCATCACCTCACTCTAGCCTGGACAACACAGTGAGACCCTACCTTCAAAAAAAAGAAATTAAAAAAACAGCTCACCCTTCATTTCCACACCACTGATGTTGGCAGTTGTGATGCTAGAAGTGAAATTGGTCCTGTTCTCTCTTTGCAAATAATTTCATTTAGACTTGAGGGGGTCTCCTTCTAGCTCCTAGTTTCTTTGTGTATCTGTGTGTGTGTGTGTCAGAGAGAGAGAGCAAGACAGAGAGAGAGAGACAAGGATATTTTTCTCTTTTGGTGTTCAGTGGATAGGCGTCCAGGAAGGAGTGTTTGCTGGTTTTCTGGGGAGTAAAATAAAAACAAATGTGGATTTAGATAAGAAAGAGATTTGAAAAGACAATTACAGGCTGGGTGTGGTGGCTCATGCCTGGAATCCCAGCACTTTGGGAGGCTGCGGTGGATCACTTGAGGTCAGGAGTTCAAGACTATCCTGGCCAACATGGTGAAACCTTGTCTCTACTTAAAAAAAAAAAAAAAGAAAAAGAAATAGCCGGGCGTGGTAGTACACAGCTAAAATCCCAGCTACTCCAAAGGCTGAGGCTGGAGAATCACTTGAACCTGGGAGGTGAAGTTTGCAGTGAGCCGAGATTGCACCACTGCACTCTAGCCTGGGCAACAGAGCGAGACCCTGCCTCAAAAACAAAACAACAACAAAACGATAAAAGAAAAGAAAAGACAATTGCAGTAGGGAGATTGCTTGACTGTAAGATTTGTAAGCATCTCAAAGACTCAGGCAGAAACAAATTTCATTTATAGGGAGAGGCATGTCAGAATAATTGATCAGGAAATACTTCCCCTTGTCGTTTGTTGATTTTTCAGGAGGGGTTGTTGAAGAGGGGCTGTCCCACGTTCCAACGTACGAGGGTGTTCAGAGGAGCTGGGGGTGGGTGGGGGAGGAGAAAACTTCAAGTTTGGTCCACAAGCACTTTATTCCTATTGATTGTGGGGATGAACAGGTCAGCTAGACATTTACAAAGGAAAGAAGGAATTTGGAGGCCAGGCACTGTGGCTCACACTTATAATCCCAGCACTTTGGGAGGCCAATGCGGGTGGATAACCTGAGGTCAGGAGTTCAAGACCAGCCTGGCCAATATGGTGAAACCCGGTCTCTATTAAAACTACAATGTTAGCTCGGCCTGGTGGAGCATGCCTGTAATCCCAGCTACTCGGGAGGCTGAGACAGAGTTGCTTGAACCCTGGAGGCAGAGGTTGCAGTGAACCAAGATCACGCTATTGCATTCCGGCCTGGGCAACAAGAGCATAACTCTGTCTCAAAAAAATAAAAAATAAATAAAAATTTAAGAAGAAAATAAAAAGAAGGGATTTGGAGAGTCTGGTCTGGCCTTGCTCTGGAGATCAAGAGGAAGGCAGCCATGCATCTTTCCTAAGTCATGAGAGAAAGGCAGGAGTTTACAGCAAGTCACTTCTCAGAATACAAAAAGGTAAGGGGGATTGAGACTATCCTGGCTAATGCAGTGAAACCCCATCTATACAACAACAAAAAATTAGTCAGATGTGGTGGTGCATGCCTGTAGTCCCAGCTACTTGGGAGAGGCAGGAGAATGGCGTGAACCCAGGAGGCAGAGGTTTCTTCCTTCCTTCCTTCCCTCCCTCCTTCCCTCCTTCCTTCCCTCCTTCCTTCCTTCCCTCCCTCCTTCCCTCCTTCCTTCCCCTTCTCCTTCCTTCCTTCCTTCCTTCTTTCCTTCCTTCTTTCCTTCCTTCTTTCCTTCCTTCCCCCCTTCTTTCTCTCCTCTCTCTTTCTTTCTCTCTCTTTCTCTCTCTCTCTTTCTTTCTTTGATGGAGTCTCACTCTGTCACCCAGCCTGGAGTGAAATGGCACATTCTTGGCTCACTGAAACGCCCACCTCCCAGGTTCAAGTGATTCTTCTGCTTCAGCCTCCTGAGTAGCTGGGACTACAAGCGTGCACCACCACACCCAGCTAATTTCTGTATTTTTAGTAGAGATGGGGTTTCAACATGTTGGCCTGGCTGGTCTTGAACTCCTGACCTCAGGCGATCTGCCCATGTCGGCCGCCCACAATGGTGGGATTACAGGCATGAGCCACCCCACCTGGCCCAGGTAGGGGGATTTCTTACCCTTCACTGTTTTCTAGAAACACAGTGCTCAGAAAACGTTCAATAGTGTCTGGGACAAGATACTTAGGTCATTTGAGGGTCTTTTAAATAAAAGAATAAAAAATTACGTATACACATTTAGACATGAAAGAGAATTTTTGTTTAGAATAAAATCACAGCAAATTGCAAAATCTGGAAAAGCTGATGGGCAGCCTCCAAAATCACAGGATTTACAGAACTAACATTGTTATGCATTCACCGTCAGACCCAATCCTATTTCCCCTACAACTTCTAGCCGGAAGGTCTTTGATCAGCGATTTTTGTCTCATCCATACAGGCACGGGAAAGGTATTTCATTCTTTCCTGTAGCACAGCTGACTGTCATTTATTTATTTTTCAGACTTTAGAAAAGTATCTTTGAGCCGGGCGCGGTGGCTCACGCCTGTAATCCCAGCACTTTGGGAGGCCGAGGCGGGCGGATCACAGGGTGAGGAGATCGAGACCATCCTGGTTAACATAGTGAAACCCCATATCTACAATAAAATACAAAAAAAATAGCCAGGCGTGGTGGCGGACACCTGTAATCCCAGCTACGTGGGAGGCTGAGGCAGGAGAATCGCTTGAACCCAGGAGGTGGAGGTTGCAGTGAGCCGAGATCACACCACTGCACTCCAGCCTGGGCAACAGAGCAAGACTCCGTCTCAAAAAAAAATAATTGAGCATCGTAATTTCTTATTTATTTTGAGACGGAGTCTTGCTGTTTTGCCCAGGCTGGAGTATAATGGTGCAATCTCGGCTTACTGCAACCCCCGCCTCGCGGGTGCAAGTGATTCTCCTGCCTCAGCCTCCCGAGTAGCTGGGACTACAGGCACCTACCAGCACATCCGGCTAATTTTTTTTTTGTATCTTTACTAGAGATGGGGTTTTTCCGTGTTGGTCAGTCTGGTCTTGAACTCCTGACCTCAGGTGATCCAGCCATCTCGGCCTCCCGAAGTGCTGGGGTTACAGGTGTGGGGTACTGCACCCAGCCAATTTCTGTTTTTTGTTTTTTGTTTTTTTTTTGAGATGGAGTCTTGCCCTGTCGCCAGGCTAGAGTGCAGTGGTGCGATCTCGGCTCACTGCAACCCCCGCCTCCTGGGTGCAAGCGATTCTCCTGCCTCAGCCTCCTGAGTAGCTGGGACTACAGGCCCCTGCCAGCACATCCGGCTAATTTTTTTTTTTGTATTTTTACTAGCGATGGGGTTTTTCTGTGTTGGTCAGTCTGGTCTTGAACTCCTGACCTCAAGTGATCCAGCCATCTCAGCCTCCCAAAGTGCTGGGGTTACTTACAGGTGTGGGTCCCTGCACCCAGCCAATTTGTTTTTTTGTTTGTTTGTTTGTTTGAGATGGAGTCTTGCTCTGTCACCAGGCTGGAGTGCACTGGTGCGATCTCGGCTCGCTGCAACCTCCGCCCTCCCGGGTTCATGCCATTCTCCTGACTCAGCCTCCCAAGTAGCTGGGATTACAGGAACCTGCCATCAAGTCCGGCTAATTTTTTTTTGTATTTTTAGTAGAGAAGGGGTTTTTCCATGTTGGTTCAGCCTGGTCTTGAACTCCTGACCTCAGGTGATCTACCCCCTCAGCCTCCCACAGTGCTAGGATTACAGGCGTGAGCTACTGCACCCATGTCAACTATGGGGAAAAGCTCATTAATTTTCTCTTCTATAAAATTTGAAAGATTTCTTGACGTTGCAGTTTCTTTTCCCATGATCATTTATCTCAATCTCATTTGAATTGACAGCATTCATTAGCTCGTTGGTTCTCAGTGTTCTCAGAGTAGCAGTATTTCAAACATTGTATGCTACCTACGTTGATGTTGTACTTTTTCCTAAATTGCTAAAAAATAGAAGGGTTTTTGCAATGAGATAATATGAGTGACTTTTTTTTTTTTTTTTTTTTTTTTTTTTGGAGATGGAGTCTCACTTTGCCATTCAGGCTGGAGTGCAGTGGTGCGATCTCGGCTCACTGCAACCTCTGCATCCCGGGTTCAAGCAATTCTCCTGCCTCAGCCTCCCGAGTAGCTGGTACTACAGGTGCCTGCCACCACGCCCAGCTAATTTTTGTATTTTTAGTAGAGATGGGCTTTCACCATGTTGGCCAGGATGGTCTCAATCTCTTGACCTCGTGATTCACCCACCTTGGCCTCCCAAAGTGCTGGGATCACAGGTGTGAGCCATGGTGCCCGGCCTCTTTTTCTTCTTTTTGTTCTTTTGAGGCTGCGAATGGATTGGATAAGGCCATCCCATGTTGGAGAAAATGATCTCCCTTTCTCAGGCTACCAATTCAATTTCTAACATCACTGGGAAGCACCCTCACAGATACCCCAGAGTGACATTCAATCAGACATCTAAACACCCCATGATCCAGTCAAGTTAACACATAATATTGTTCCAACCTCATTCTAGATATAAGAAGGGCCCTAAATGCAATGACAGCTGTTCTAAGAGACAGAAGAGGAGACGCAGACACAGAGGAGAAGGCCACGTGTAGACAGAGGCAGAGACTGCAGTGATGTGGCCACAAGCCCAGGGATGCCTGGAGCCCCCAGGAGCTGGGAGAGGCAGGAAGGATCCTCCTCTAGAGCCTCCAGAAGGAACTGGATACAATTGGAATGGGTTATATGGTGATCCCCAAAATATATGTTTATTTCCTTTTCCCCAGAACCTATAAATGCAATCTTACTTGGAAACAGGATCTCTGCAAATGTAATTAGTGAAGGATCTTGAAATAAAACCTGTCCTAGATTAGGGGGTCCTAAATGCAAGGACAGGTGTCCTTCTAAACACAGAAGGGGAGACCCAGACAGAGGAGAAGGCCACATGGAGACAGAGACTGGAGTGGTGTAGCCACGAGCCCAGGAATGCTGGGAGCCCCTGGGAGCTGGGAGAGGCAGGAAGGATCCTCCCCTAGAGACTCCAGAGGGAGCCCAGCCCTAACATACCTTCATCTCAGACTCCTGGTATCCAGGATTATGTGAGCATACATTTCCATTTTAAGCCTTGAAGGTTGTGAAATCTGCCACGGCTGCCCTGAAGGTTGTGAAATCTGCCACGGCTGCCTTGAAGGTTGTGAAATTGCTCACGGCTGCCTTGAAGGTTGTGAAATTGCTCACGGCTGCCTTGAAGGTTGTGAAATTGCTCACGGCTGCCTTGAAGGTTGTGCAATTGCTCACGGCTGCCTTGAAGGTTGTGAAATTGGTCACGGCTGCCTTGAAGGTTGTGAAATTGGTCACGGCTGCCTTGAAGGTTGTGAAATTGCTCACGGCTGCCTTGAAGGTTGTGCAATTGCTCACGGCTGCCTTGAAGGTTGTGAAATTGCTCACGGCTGCCTTGAAGGTTGTGCAATTGCTCACGGCTGCCTTGAAGGTTGTGCAATTGCTCACGGCTGCCTTGAAGGTTGTGAAATTGGTCACGGCTGCCTTGAAGGTTGTGAAATTGGTCACGGCTGCCTTGAAGGTTGTGAAATTGCTCACGGCTGCCTTGAAGGTTGTGCAATTGCTCACGGCTGCCTTGAAGGTTGTGAAATTGCTCACGGCTGCCTTGAAGGTTGTGAAATTGCTCACGGCTGCCTTGAAGGTTGTGCAATTGCTCACGGCTGCCTTGAAGGTTGTGAAATTGGTCACGGCTGCCTTGAAGGTTGTGAAATTGGTCACGGCTGCCTTGAAGGTTGTGAAATTGCTCACGGCTGCCTTGAAGGTTGTGCAATTGCTCACGGCTGCCTTGAAGGTTGTGAAATTGCTCACGGCTGCCTTGAAGGTTGTGAAATTGCTCACGGCTGCCTTGAAGGTTGTGAAATTGCTCACGGCTGCCTTGAAGGTTGTGCAATTGCTCACGGCTGCCTTGAAGGTTGTGAAATTGCTCACGGCTGCCTTGAAGGTTGTGAAATTGCTCACGGCTGCCTTGAAGGTTGTGAAATTGCTCACGGCTGCCTTGAAGGTTGTGCAATTGCTCACGGCTGCCTTGAAGGTTGTGAAATTGCTCACGGCTGCCTTGAAGGTTGTGAAATTGCTCACGGCTGCCTTGAAGGTTGTGAAATTGCTCACGGCTGCCTTGAAGGTTGTGCAATTGCTCACGGCTGCCTTGAAGGTTGTGCAATTGCTCACGGCTGCCTTGAAGGTTGTGAAATTGCTCACGGCTGCCTTGAAGGTTGTGCAATTGCTCACGGCTGCCTTGAAGGTTGTGAAATTGGTCACGGCTGCCTTGAAGGTTGTGAAATTGGTCACGGCTGCCTTGAAGGTTGTGAAATTGCTCACGGCTGCCTTGAAGGTTGTGAAATTGCTCACGGCTGCCTTGAAGGTTGTGCAATTGCTCACGGCTGCCTTGAAGGTTGTGCAATTGCTCACGGCTGCCTTGAAGGTTGCGAAAGTGGTCACGGCTGCCTTGAAGGTTGCGAAATTGCTCACGGCTGCCTTGAAGGTTGCGAAATTGCTCACGGCTGCCTTGAAGGTTGCGAAATTGCTCACGGCTGCCTTGAAGGTTGCGAAATTGCTCACGGCTGCCTTGAAGGTTGCGAAATTGCTCACGGCTGCCTTGAAGGTTGTGAAATTGCTCACGGCTGCCTTGAAGGTTGTGAAATTTGCCACGTCTGACTTGAAGGTTGTGAAATTGGTCACGGCTACCTTGAAGGTTGTGAAATTGGTCACGGCTGCCACTGCAAACTTTCGTATGGATAGAAGACCCCCTTTCTGACTCATCTGCACGTTCTGGTCTGGAATTTGGGATGGCAGTGAACCAGCTGCCCAGTGTATACTGATCTCTCCCCTTGTCTGTGTGTCTAGGAATGGAACAGCCATACAGCCAAGAAACCCACCACAAAGAGTGTTCTTGAATGTCCCAAACTGCAGGCAACTTTTCTGCTCTGGCCCATGGGCATGTCCTGGGAAGCTTGTGGTACAGAAAATCCAGCTTACAGCTTCCATCCGGGTAGAGCTGACCTTCCAAAGAGTGGAAGCTGTCTCAGTTCCTCGCCTGGTTGGGGGCAGATATCTGAAGGCATGGATGCTAGAGAGATTTCTCCTTGGCTAAGGTCCAAGGTTATTTTCTGGGTACTTCCTTGCTCGTGATATTATTTTGTGAGCTCTCTAAATGCTTTGGAGTGTTGAGCTTTACCCTGTTGTGTGTTGTGTATTAAGAAACGCAATTAGATCCCGTCTCTACAAAAGAAGAAAAAGTAGTGAGGTATGGCAGTGTGTGCACCTGTGGTCTCAGCTACTCTGGAGGCTGAGGTGGGAGGATCGCTTGAGGCTAGGAGGTCGAGGTTGCAGTGAGCTATGATTGCACCACTGCACTCCAGCCTGAGTGACAGAGCAAGACCCATCTCTTAAAAAAAAAAATGCAGCTGGGTGCGGCGGCTCATGCCTATAATCCCAGCACTTTGGGAGGCTGATGCGGGTGGATCTCCTCAGCTCAGGAGTTCGAGACATGGTGAAACCCCATCTCTACTAAAATACAAAAATTAGCTGGGTGTGGTGGTGCATGCCTGTAGCCTCAGCTACTTGGGAGGCTGAGGTGGGAGGATCGCTTGAGGCTAGGAGATCGAGGCTGCAGTGAGCTATGATTGCACCACTGCACTCTAGCCTGGGTGACAGAGCAAGATCTTGTCGCAAAACAAAAGCAAAACAAAACAAAAAAAAATGAAAACAAAAACAAAACACATTCATGCTTCCTCCCCCAGGATTGCAAGTGTGTTGTCTGGGAGCCGTTTCCTTTTTCCTCCCTTTTCCTTCACACCTCATTGAAACTGGCAATTGTACTTCCTACTCCCCAGGAATTTTTCCATTTCTACCACTCTCCGTCTCTCCACTACCCCCTGTTGCAAGCTCCTTGGCTGGGACACTCTCAGCGTGGGATACATCAGCCCATCTCCTCCCTGCTCTGTTGCCTTGGGGATGTGCCACCTCCCACCAACCACCTTGCCTCTCCATGCTGCGCACTCTTCACTCAGAAACTCGAGATGATGGCCGGGTGCAGTGGCTCACGCCTGTCATCCCAGCCCTTTGGGAGGCCGAGGCGGGTGGATCACAAGATCAGGAGATCAAGACCATCCTGGCTAACGTGGTGAAACCCCGTCTCTACTAAAAATACAAAAAATTAGCCAGGCGTGGTGGCAGGTGCCTATAGTCCCAGCTACTCGGAAGGCTGAGGCAGGAGAATGGCGTGAACCCAGGAGGCGGAGGTTGCAGTGAGCCAAGATCGTGCCACTGCACTCCAGCCTGGGTGACAGAGCGAGACTCCGTCTCAAAAAAATAAACTCGACATGATGATGGCTGTGTGTTCACCTGAGAGGTCCAGAGCTCCCCAGATAAACCACGTCATGCAAAAAAATGCTTTGAGACAACGACAGGCAAGCCCAGGTGGTACAACAGGACACAGAAACCATCCCAAAACAAACACTCATGATTCTCCTGTATGACACCAGGAGCCAGCTGTTTCTCACATGCCCCAGCCACCTCCCAGTCCCAAACCTTTCTTCCTTGGCCAGCTCCATGTCTTCCATTTGGAATGTCTTCCAGGGGTCAAGTCTGGGGTTCCCTGGGGTCCCCAGTTGGCCTCACACCGTGGATGCCCTGGGTATTGGCTCTGGACGATGACTTTTGAGCAGCTTTTCTGACAGCATCCACCACCTGTGGCTGCCTCCCTGGCAGAGGCGGTAACCATGGAAACGGGGAAGCCAGCCAAGGATCATCTGTGATGGGAGAGTGGGAGGGAAAAGGAGGCAGACAAAGGGGGCAGGCATCGGTTCATGAGTCGAAGGGCGTCGGCACCTGAGTGTGGTAGGCCTTTTACAATTCACACCTCCCCAGCGTGTCTACAGGTATCACGTCCCAGGCCCCCAGGAGGTAAGGAGGAGGGTGAGAGCTCCTCACATCTGTGGCTCCGTGGAAGAGGACGCGTCCTGTGCCTCCACACCACACCCTTGACATTGGCTGTTGTGATGCTCTGGGTATAATCAGTCCCTGCTCCAACTCTTTCCATGGCACTGAAGCCTGGATAACACAGTGTAAGACCTCATCTCTAAAAATAAGAAGGAGGCCAGGCACGGTGGCTTAAGCCTGTCATCCTAGCACTTCGGGAGGCCAAGTCGGGCTGATCACAAGGTCAGGAGATCGAGACCATCCTGCCTAACAAGGTGAAACCCCATCTCTACTAAAATACAAAAAAATTAGCTGGGCGTGGTGGCGTTTGCCTGTAATCCCAGCTATTCAGAAGGCTGAGGCAGGAGAATCGCTTGAACCTAGGAGGCAGAGGTTGCAGTGAGCCAAGATCGCACCACTGCACTCCAGCCTGGGCGACAGAGTGAGACTCTGTCTCAAAAAAAAAAAAAAAAAAAAGAATGAATACACAATAAGTCAACAAATAAATAAATACCTCCAGAGTGACTGCAGCCCAGAGGGCTTCTTTCTGTTTTTTTCTAGCACCATCCTATGTGGGGGTCTCCAAGAGCAATCCTCAGGTGTTGTGATACGGCTGCTAGGAGGTCTCCTGGGATGCTACATATAGTTATACTCACACTATGATTTCTTCTTATTTTTTATTCATTTTATTTTATTGTTTGTTTTAAGACAGAGTCTTGCTCTGTCACCCAGGCTGGAGTGCAGTGGCGCAATCTCTACTCACTGCAACCTCTGCCTCCTGGGTTCAAGTGACCCTCCTGCCTCAGCCTCCCAAGTAGCTGGGATAACAGGCACGCAGTCACTACATCCGGCTAATTTTTGCATTTTTTTAGTAGAGGTGGGGTTTTTCCATGTTGGCCAGGCTGGTCTTAAACTTCTGACCGCAGGTGATCTGCCTGCCTCGGCCTCCCAAAGTGCTGGGATTATAGGTGTGAGCCACCACGCCCAGCCTATTCATTTATTTGTTATTTGTTTATTTTTATTTTTAGAGATGGGGTCTCAGTCTGTGGCCCAGGCTGCAGTGAAGTGGAAGGAGGAAAAGAATGGGACCTATTTCACCTGGAGTGTCGCATCCACCAATATCAATGCTGCTGAAATGAAGGAGATTCTCTCTCTCTTTCTCTCTAGAGGTGGGGTCTCTGTGGCCCAGGCTGTAGTGCAGTGGGGCCATCATGGCTCACTGTAGGCTTGGCCCCCAGCCTGAAGCAATCCTCCCATCTCAGCCTCCCAAATAGGCCTGACTGCAGATGCTTACCACCACACCTGGCTAAATTTTCTATTTTTATTATTTTATTTTATTTTTTGAGATGGATTCTTGCTCTGTCGCCCAGGCTGCAGTGAAGTGGCATGATCTTGGCTCACTGCAACCTCTGCCTACCGGGTTCAAGTGATGCTCCTGCCTCAGCCTCCCAAGTAGCTGAGACTACAGGTGTGCACCACCACGCCCGGCTAATTTTTGTATTTTTAGTAGAGACGGGGTTTCACAATGTAGGCTAGGATGGTCTGGATCTCTTGATCTCATGATCCACCCTCCTTGGCCTCCCAAAGTGCTGGGACTACAGGCGTGAGCCACTGTGCCCAGCCCCCCTCCCCCACCCTTTTTTTTAAAAGTCTTCTGCAGTGGGCTGAAGTATGTCTCTGCAAAGTTTATGTCCACCAGAACCTCAGAAGGGAAACTTATTTGGAAATAAAGTCTTCGTGGACGTCGTTAAGATGAGGTTGCACTGGAATAGAGTGGGCCCTAAATCCAATGACTGGAGCCCTTGTAAGAAAAAAAGAGAACACACAAAGGAGAAGATGGAGACAGAGGTTGGACTGACACATCTATGAACCAAATGTGTTTGTCTGTTTTTATGCTGCTATAAGAAATACCTGAGTACCTGAGACTCAGGTATTTCTTGCTGCTATAAGAAATACCTGAGTACCTGAGACTGAGTAATTTATTAAGGAAAGAGGTTGAATCAACTCACACTTCCACATAGCTGGGAAAGTCTCAGGAAACTTACAGTCATGGCAGAAGTCAAAGGGGAAGCAAGCACTTCTTCACAAGCTGGTAGGAGAGACAGAGAGTGAGGGGGGAATAGCTAAACACTTATAAAATCATGAGATCGGCCGGCACGTGGTGGCCCATGCCTGCAATCCCAGCCCTTTGGGAGGCTGAGGCGGGTGGGTCACCTGAGGTCAGGAGTTCAAGACCAACCTGACTTACATGGAGAAACACTGTCTCTACTAAAAATACAAAATTAGCCAGGCACAGTGGCTCATGCCTGTAATCCCAGCTACTTGGGAGGCTGAGGCAGGAGAATTGCTTGAACCCGGGAGGCGGAGGTTGCAGTGAGCCAAGATCATGCCATTGCACTCCAGCCTGGGCAACAATAGTGAAACTCCATCTCAAAAACAAAAAACAAAAAAAAAAGAAAACAAAATCATATCTCATGAGCATTCACTCACTATCATGAGAACAGCATGGGGGAAACTGCCTCCCTGATCCAGTCACCTCCCACCAGTTCCCTCCTTGTACACCTGGGGATTTGACATGAGATTTGGGTGGGGGCACAGATGCAAACTATATCGCCAGGCATGCTGAATTAACCGCTTCCCATACCCACATGTAAAACTTCAAAGCTGTCAGTAACGCCTCACGCATGATCCTCTTCCATCAATCCCACCTCCAGTTACGGCCAGAGAAGACACAAGACCCCAGTTCAAAAAACTGTCTTTTTTGTGGAGCTCTTCTTTCTACTAAGACTTTAGTTGTGTATATCAATTGTGACTTCAATTACGTATAATGGATCTCTCCCGATTTGGGTGAGATTACAATTCCTGATGAGATTTGGGTGGGGACACAGAGCCAACCATATAATTGATATGAGCAGGGGGGCTGGTGAAAGGTGATTGGATGACGGGGGCAGAGTTCTCGTGAATGGTTTTCATGAATGGTTTCGCACCATTACCCCCTTGGTACTACAGTAACCGAGTTCTCATGAGATCTGGTTGTTTAAAACTGTGTAACACTTTTTCTGTCTTCTCTCTTCCTCCTGCTCTGGCTAGGTAAGACACTTGTTCTCACTTTGCCTTCTGCCATGTTTGTAAGTTTCCTGATGTCTCCTCTGAGCCTCCAGAAGGAACCAAGCCTACTGATACCTTGATCTCAGCTGTTGGCCTCCAGAAGTTCGAGAGAACAGACGTCTGCTGTTTCAAGCCACGCAGTTGTTGGTATTTTTCTACAACAGCATCTGAATCCTAATGCATGCCCTCTAACTGTGGGATCGATTTTGGGGTGCTGAGATGTGGCCTGTTTCTCCTATGACCTTCCTTGTGTTTTTAGTGCTCTTGGAAGAAGAGAGAATTAAGCATAGAATACCCACAGAGAGGAATCTCTCTTTCTTTTTTTTTTTCTTTGAGACAGAGTCTTGCTCTGTCACCAGGCTGGGAGTTCAGTGGCACGATCTCGGCTCACTGCAACATCCGTCTCTCAGATTCAAGCAATTCTCCTGTCTCAGCCTCCCAAGTAGCAGGGACTACAGGCGCATGCCACCACGGCCGGCTGATTTTTTTTTTTTTTTTTTTTTTTTGTATTTTTAGTAGACATGGGGTTTCACCATCTTGTCTAGGATGGTCTCGATCTCCTGACCTTGTGATCTGCCCACCTCAGACTCCCAAAGTGCTGGGATTGAGGAATCTTTCAACCCCTTGCTACCTTTCAAATTGCATAGGAACATTGAAAAGATGATAAAATGTGGAGGCTCAAAGAAAACAAGCAGTGTTCAGCATTCCGAAAGTGGCCTGGTTTGAGGAAATTAATTATTTGGCATCTCTGAACAAGTGGTGTTTTGGACTCCTAAACTTAAAGATAAATACATATTGTTTCCTACCCTTCATTCGTCTTCCTTCTCCTCGCCCGACCCAGAACTCCAAGAAGGCTAATCTCTTCTGCAATATCGTAATGGCCTTGAAGCAATCTAACATCTGTGTTCTTCCTTTCCTCATCTATGAAATTACTTTCAAATAACCAAATTAAACAGGATCTTCCATTTGGGCTGGAATGGTAAGAGCGGCAGAGGACAGCATGTTCCCATTTATAATAGCAGGCACGGAAATTCAACCAGACTTTGCTGATCTAAGAGATGCTCTTGGAAGACCCCATTACTTAAATGATCTAGAAAATGTCCTCCCGAGTCAAGGTATGTCTTAAGGAAGAAAAACGTACAAACAAAACCCAGAAAACTGTTTTAAGAGTCTTATTCTGATGAGACTCTATTTGTATTTGCCAAATAGCTGTGATTTTCTGGAATGCAGGACAAGCTGATAAATTAGGCAGGATGAAGACACTTTTTTTCTCAAGGGCAGGAACACAGATAAGAGCACCTAAGTGTAACACTTTGTTCTGGGACACAGCCCAACTCCAGTCCTTCTGTAGAATATCTGTATTCAGTCAGAGGATATCAAAGATGGATAGAGCCTTGGGAATTATCTAGCACAACCTTATCCATTTTACAGCTGGGGAAACCAGAGCTGGGAGGGCAACTTCCAAATTGGTAGTGATCCATCGTACACAATTGAAGTCATCATTGGTAGACACAACTGAGGTCCTAGTAGAAAGAACAGCCTCACAAGACAGTGATTTGAACTGGGGTCTTGTGCCTTCTTTGGCCATGACTGGAGGTGGGATTGGTGGAAGTGGGTGATGGGTGAGGCTTTACTGACCAATTTGAAATTTTGCATGTGTGTACGGAAAGGAGTTGACTCAACAGGCCTGGCGATATGGTTTGCATCTGTGTTCCCACCCAAATCTCATGTCAAATTGTAATCTCTAGTGTTGGAGGTAGAGGAGCTGGTGGGAGGTGATGGGATAAAGGGGGCAGAGTTCTCATGAATGGTGTAACGCCATCCCCCTTGCTACTGTATAGTGAGTGAATTCTCATGAGATTGGGTTGTTTAAAACTGTATGGCATCTTCTCTCTCTCCTCTCTTCCTCCTGTTCTGGCCATGTAAGACACCTGCTCCTGGCTGGGCATGGTGGCTGAAGCCTGTAATCCCAGCACTTTAGGAGGCTGAGGCAGGTGGATCGCAAGGTCAGGAGTTCAAGACCCACCTGGCCAACATGGTGAAACCCTGTATCTACTAAAAATACAAAAACTAGCTGGGCATGGTGGCAGGCACTTGTAATCCCAGCTACTTGGGAGGCTGAGGCAGGAGGATCACTTGAACCTGGGAGGCAGAGGTTGCAGTGAGCCGAGATCTCGCCACTGCATTCCAGCCTGGGCAACAGAGTGAGACTCCATCTCAAAAAAAAAAAAGACAAAAAAAAGAGATACATTTTCAACTTTCACCCCCCCACACCCCAACACTCTCCCCTTTGGACTCCCCAGTGTCTGTGAACTCCATCTCTTATGTTTATGGGTACCTATTATTTAGCTCCTACTTATAAGTAAGAACATACAGTATTTGATTTTCTTTTTCTGAGTTATTTATCTTAGGATAATGGCCTCCAGCTTCATCCACATCTCTTTGGAAGACATGATTTCATTCTTTTTAAGCCTGTGTAATATTCCATGGTGTATAAATACCACAGTTTTTTTTTTTAATCTAATTCTCCAATGGCAGATACCTAGACTGATTCCGTATCTTTGTTGCTGTGAATATACTGTGATAAACATATGACTATGGGTGTATTTTTGATGGGATGATTTCTTTCTTTCTTTTTCTTTCTTTCTTTCTTTCTTTCTTTCTTTCTTTCTTTCTTTCTTTCCTTTCTTTCCTTTCTTTCTTTCCTTTCTTTCTTTCCTTTCTTTCTTTCCTTTCTTTCCTTTCTTTCTTTCTTTCTTTCTTTCTTTCTTTCTTTCTTTCTTTCTTTCTTTCCTTTCTTTCTTTCTTTCTTTCTTTCTTTCTTTCTTTCTTTCTTTCTTTCTTTTCTTTTCTTTTCTTTCTTTCTTTCTTCTTTCGAGACAGAGTCTCATTCTGTCACCCAGGTGGAGTCCAGTGGTGTGATCTCGGCTCACTGCAATGTCCACCTCCTGGGTTCAAGCAATTCTCCTGCCTCAGCCTCCCAAGTAGCTGGGATTACGGGCACCTGCCACCACACTCAGTTAATTTTGTATTTTTAGTAGAGATGTGGTTTCACCATGTTGGCCAGGCTGGTCTCAAACTGCTAACCTCAGGTGATACATTGAAAGGATGATTTCTTACCCTTTGGGTTTATGCCCAGGAGTGGGATTCCTCGATCAAATCATAGTTTTATTTTTAGTCTTTTGAGAAATCTTCATACTGTTTTCCATTCAAGCTTTATTTACAGCCGTGGTTCCCAACCCTTTTGGTACCAGGGACCAGTTTTGTGGAAGATGATTTTTTCCATGGATGATGACCTGGAGATGGTTTTGGGATGATTTGAGTACATGACATTGATTGTGTTCTTCATTTCTATTATTATTATTACATTGTAATACAGAATGAAATAATTCTACAACTCACCATTGCATAGAATCAGTGGGAGCCCTGAGCTTGTTTTCCTGCAACTAGATGGTCCCATCCAGGCGTGATGGGAGACAGTAACAGATCATCACACATTAGATTTTCATAAGGAGCACGTAACCTAGATCCCTCACATGTGCGGTTCGCAATAGGGTTCACACTGCTATGAGACTCTAACGCCACTGCTGATCTGACAAGAGGTGGAGCTCAGGTGGTAACACAAGTGATGGGGAGCAGCCGTTAACACAGACGAAGAAGCCAGGTATGGTGGCTCATGCCCGTAATCCCAGCACTTTGTGAGGCCAAGGTGGGCGGATCACCTGAGGTCAGGAGTTCAAGACCAGCCTGGCCAACATGGTGAAACACTGTCTCTACTAAAAATACAAAAATTAGCTTGATGTGGGGTGTGACTACCTGTAATTCCAGCTACTCAGGAGGCTGAGGCAGGAGAATCGCTTGAACCCAGGCGGCGGAGGTTGCAGTGAGCTGAGATTGCACCACTGGACTCCAGCCTGGGTGACAGAATGAGACTCCATCTCAAAAAATAAAAAATAAAAAAATACAGATGAAGCTTTGCTACTCACCTGCTGCCCACCTCCTGCTCTGTGGCCCGGTTCCTAACAGGCTATGGACCAGTGGTGGTCTGTGCCCTGGGGATTCAGGACCCCTGAGTTACAGCACCAATTTACAATATCCCTTTTTCTGGGGTCAGACGTTGAATGCATACCTAGCTTAGCTCCGTACCTGGTGCTATGCCCCGAATGCTTATTGATCTTGTTTTCTGGGTATTGTGGATGAGTGAAGATCCATGCACTGATGTTGGGTTGTTTCATTGTGGTCACTTCTCATAGCCCCCATCACACTGCAGCCTTCTCTGTGTCTCTGCATCCACATAGTTGGAGCTAGCCATCTCACTCAGGGCTTTCTTGGAAGCATAGGGAGTTGCTCCATGCTGCAGAACGGATTCCATCTGTGCAGTGAGAGAACAGGAATTGATAGATAAATGTTCCAGCCTTTCCATCCTTCAGAGGGTCCTCAGCAGGATACAGACCCCCTTGCCCATGGCAGTAACAAGTGCCATAGCAACCCCAGCTGTTGGATCTTCCCCATATGGCAGCACTCCTCTCACCATCTCTTATTTTTGCTTTATGCAATCACCTTTTTTTTTTTTTTTTTTTTTTTTTTTGAGACGGAGTCTCGCTCTGTCCCCTAGGCTGGAGTGCAGTGGAGCGATCTCGGCTCACTGCAAACTCCACCTCCCGGGTTCGCGCCATTCTCCTGCCTCAGCCTCCCAAGTCGCTGGCACTGCGGGCACACACCACAACACCTGGCTAAGTTTTTTTGTTGTTGTTTTTGTTGTATTTTTAGTAGAGATGGATTTCAACATGTTAGCCAGGATAGTCTCGATCTCCTGACCTCATGATCTGCCCGCCTCGGCCTCCCAAAATGCTGGGATTACAGGCATGAGCCACCATGCCAGGCTGCAATCACCTTTTAAATAATCTATCAGTATCCAGATACTGCTTTTCTTTTCTCTTTTCTTTTTTTTGAGATGGAGTTTTGCTCTTGTTGCCTAGGCTAGAGTGCGATGGCGTGATCTTGGCTCACTGCAACCTCCGCCTCCCGGGTTTAAGCGATTCTTCTGCCTCAACCTCCTGAGCAGCTGGGATTACAGGTGCCCGCCACCAGGCCCGCCTAATTTTTTTGTATTTTTAGTAGAGACTGGGTTTCACTGTGTTAGCCAGGATGGTCTTGATCTCGTGACCTCGTGATCTGCCCACCTCGGCCTCTCAAAGTGCTGGGATTACAGGCATGAGCCATTGTGCCCTGCTGCAATCACGTTTTAAATAGTCTATCAGTACCCAGATACTGCTTTTCTTTTCTTTTTCTTTTTTTTTTTTGAGATGATGGAGTTTCACTCTTGTTGCCCACGCTGGAGTGCAATGGTGTGATCTTGGCTCACTGCAACCTCTGCCTCACGGGTTTAAGCGCTTCTCCTGCCTCAACCTCCTGAGTAGCTGGGATTACAGGCGCCTGCCACCACTCCCGCCTAATTTTTTTTTTTTTTTTTTTGTATTTTTAGTAGAGACGGGGTTTCACCATGTTGGCCCAGCCGGTCTCAAACTCCTGACCTCAGGTGATCTGCCTGCCTCCGCCTCCCAAAGTGCTGGAATTACAGGTGTGAGCCACTGCACCCAGCCAGATGTTGGTTTTCATCTCTACTTTTGAGGAATGCTGATCTAGTACATGTAGGGAAGACTCATGTATTGTCACAACAACCATGAAAGCAAAGGACAGAATCTGGGTGTCAGGGAGTGACATGGGTAGAATTGTGTGCCCTACAACATTAGGTTCAAGTTCTGACGCCAGGTACCTGTTAACGTGACCTTCTTTGGAAATCAGGTCTCTGCAAATGTAATGAGTCCAGACACCAAGGGAAACGGAGAAGATAAGAAGCAGAGATTGAGGTAATGCGTCCACCAGCCAAGGAGCACCAAGACGTGCTGGCGACCACCAGATGCTAGCGGGGAGACCTGGAACAGATTCTCCCTCAAAGCCTCCAGAAGTAAACCAACTCTGTAGACACCTTCATTTCAGACTTCTGGTCTCCAGAGCTGTGAGAGAATCCATTTCTGTTCATTGCAGCCACTTTTTTCTTTTCTTCCTTCTTTCTTTTCTTTTTTCTTTCTTTCTTTCTTCCTTCCTTCCTTCCTTTCTCTCTCTTTCTCTCTTTCTTCTTTTCCTTCCTTTGCTTCCTTTCCTTCCTTTCCTTGTTTCTTCTCTCTTTCTGAGATGGAGTTTTGCTCTGTCACCCAGGCTGGAGTGCAGTGGCGCAATCTCGGTTCACTGTGACCTCTGCCTCCTGGGTTCAAGTGATTCTCCTGCCTCAGCTTCCTGAGTAGCTGGGATTACAGGCACAAGCCACCATGCCCGGATAATTTTTTATATTTTTGGTATAGACGAGGTTTCACCATGTTGGCCAATCTTGTTTCAAACTCTTGACCTCAAGTCATCCAGCCACCTTGGCCTCCCAAATTCTGAGATAACAGGTGTGAGCCACTGTGTCTTGCCTGAGCCATTTCTTCAGCAGTGATTTTTTTTTTTCATGGCTGCCCTAGCTAAGGAATACCATTACAATGAAAGCTGAGCTGCTTAAGCTACAATTTTTTTTATTACTTATTTATTTACTTTTGTTTCAGTCATTTTTGGAGAACAGGTGGTTTTAGGTTACATGGATAATTTCTTTAGCAGTGATTTTTGAGATTTTCATGCACCCATCACTCAAGGAATGTACACTGTACTCAATGTGTAGTCTTTTATCCCTCACTCCCCTCCTACCCTTTCCCCCGAGTCCTCAAAGTCCATTGTATAATTCTTATGCCTTTGCATCCTCGTAGCTTAGCTCGCACTTATGACTGAGAACGTTTGATATTTAGTTTTCTTATACCCAAGTTACTTCACTTGGAATAATGGCCTCCACTTCCATCCATGTTACTGCAAAATACATTATTTTGCTCCATTTTATGGGTGAGTAGTATTCCGTGGTGTATATACACCACACTTTCTTTATCCACTCCTTGGTTGATGGGGATTTAGGCTGGTGTCATATTTTTGCAATCGCGAATTGTGCTGCTATCAGTTACCACTAAAGAACTCATCCATGTAACCTAAAACCACCTGTCCTCCAAAAACTACTGAAACAAAAGTCAGTCAATCAATAAATAATAATAAAAGGCAAGTGCCTTTTTTCATATAATGACTTCTTTTCCACTGTGTAGATACTCAGTTCTGAGATTGCTGGATGAAATTGTTGATCTACTTTTAGTTCTTCAAGGAACCTCCATACCTGGATCAAATGGTAGTTCTATTATTAGTTCTTCAAGGAGTCTCCATACCTGGATCAAATGGTAGTTCTAGTATTAGTTCTTTAAGGAGTCTCCATACCTGAATCCAATGGTAGTTCTACTATTAGTTCTTTAAGGAGTCTCCATACCTGGATCAAATGGTAGTTCTATTATTAGTTCTTTCAGGAATCTCCATACCTGGATCAAATGGTAGTTCTAGTTTTAGTTCTTCAAGGAGTCTCCATACCTGGATCAAATGGTGGTTCTATTATTAATTCTTCAAGGAATCTCCATACCTGGATCAAATGGTGGTTCTATTATTAGTTCTTTAAGGAGTCTCCATACCGGGAACAAATGGTAGTTCTAGTATTAGTTCTTTAAGGAATCTCCGCAGTGGTTTCCATAGTGGTTAAACTAGTTTACATTCCCACCAGCAGTGTAAAAGTGTTCCCTTTTCACCACATCCACACCAACATCTGTTATTCTTTGATTTTTGAATTATGGCCATTCTTGCAGGAGTAAGATGGTATCTCACTGTGGTTTTAATTTTCATTTCCCTGATCATTAGTGATGTTGAGCATTTTTTCATATGCTCATTGGACATTCATATATCTACTTTTGAGAATTGTCTATTCATGCCCTTTGCCTATGTTTTGATGGGATTGTTTGTTTTTTTTTCCTGCTGATTTGTTTGAGTTCCTTGTAGATTCTGGATGTTAGTCCTTCGTCGGATTCATAGTTGGGCAAATTTTTCTCCCATTCTGTGAGTTGTGTGTTTACTCTGTTGATTCTTTGTTTTGCTGTACAGAATAAGCTACAATTTTAAGGAAGAGGATTTGTGGCAACTTACGTAGCTCAGTAAAGAGAGTGAGTAGGACCTCAAAGCATTCTTTAAAGGAGAGAGAGGACATGATCCAACTTAGACAAAGAGAATGTTCTGGCCACAGAGGCAATTTGGCCAGAAACTAGATAACAGGATGTCAAACTAGATAACAAGGAAGTCTACCTTAATTCAATGGCACAAGAGCTTGAAATCATCAAAGAGTCTTTCTGAATACTACGCTAAAGCAATTGCTTTTAATGAATATATTCAGACTTGCCAAGGCTGAGACCTCAAATACTATCTTGAGGTCTTTAACAGCTATCTGATGCTGTCAATGATTTTGTATATAAAAAGACCTTGGAACAGGAGGTTGCCATTTAGTGAACAGGGTTGGCAGTATACCTTCCCGCCTGCTTTGCATAGTGACTCATTGTCTACTCAACGAGGATTCTTAATAATCATGTCATTGGTGACACATAGGCAGTCAGTGGATTTTTTTTTTTAATGACAAGTGGAAAAATGTTAAAAGCCAGCTTTGATTAAAATGTGAGTTAAGCTGGAAAGCTCAGTGAAATCCATCCATGGCTGTATATTAAGAACTGTAACCTGCCACTGTGTGTAACACCCGTTATATAAACTCATGTAAAGATTTCAGTCACGCCGCCGGACGTGGAGACTCATGCCTGTAATCCCAGCACGTTGGGAGGCTGAAGCGGGTCGATCACCTGAGGTCAGGAGTTTGAGAACAGCCTGACTAACATGGTGAAACTCTGTCTCTAACAAATACAAAAAATCAGCTGGGTGTGGTGGCTTATGCCTGTCATCCCAGCTACTTGGGAGGCTGAGGCAGGAGAATCGCTTGAATCCGGGAGGCGGAGGTTGCAGTGAGCTGAGATTCTGCCATGGCACTCCAGCCTGGGCAACAAGAGCAAAACTCCTTCTCAAAAAAACAAAAAATGAATTTCAGCCACGCAATACATTTGGGTAACTACCAAGTATGTCTCCGCTGGCAATCCTTGAGAATCAATAGAAGTTATTCCAAAATATAAGCTGGTATAGTGATAAACCTGGTGAAAAGCACCGTGTTTTATAATGCAATGTCTAAGCCCACAGTGGCGCCTGTGTCATGGATGGAAACAATTTCCAAGTATGGCAGTGTGGGCTGCAGCTGTTCCACAGAAGATCGTAAAGTATATGGAATGGTAAATGCATGGCACGTTTTGTAAAATAATTAAATGAAGCCCAATGCTGCCATCCCTCAGGTCATATTTACATAGATGATTGAGCTGTCTGATTCACTGAGGGTTCTCTCTGTGTGTCTCTTTGGTGAAGCAATTTATTCTGCTTTTACAGATTAGAGTAGATATTTTCTAAGTGACGAAATACAATTCTTCCAGTGGCACAATATAAAATCGTATTAAAGAGCATTAAAGCATATAAGCTAACAGCATGCATACTTATCTACAAACTGGTTTCTAAAAATGGAGAAGCATTTTTTGCTTTCAGATGGAGATTGTGTACTCAGATCTCGAATTCTGTTTCCTTAAAAAATGGTTTAATGAACCCTAATGCATCTACCACTCAGGTTTTAACGATTACAAACAGTTATCAATGTGTTTTATTTTTCCATTTTAATTTTTTTGGCCACGGTATTTGAAAGAAAATCTTAGACATCATTATCATTCTGCCTTTCAATTCTACAGAACTTTTTTTTTTTTTTCCTCATCAGGCCTTTTTGTTCTTCGACAGAGTCTCACTCTGTCGTCCAGGCTGGAGTGCAGTGGCGTGATCTCGGCTCACTGCAACCTCTGCCTCCTGGGTTCAAGCAATTCTCCTGCCTCAGCCTCCCAAGTATCTGGGATTACAGGTGCCCGCAACTATGCCCGGCTGACTTTTTTGTATTTTTAGTAGACACTGAGTTTCACCATGTTGGCCAGGCTGGTCTCAAACTCTCGACCTTGTGATTCACCCGCCTTGGCCTCCCAAAGTGCAGGGATTACAGGTGTCAGCCACTGCGCCCGGCCCAACAATACTTTTATCTACTCATCAGTATGTGTTCAAATTTCCCTCAGTCTTAGAAATGACTTTCTGTGGTTGGTTTCTTTAAATAAAAATGGAAAGAAACTCCACACACTTTAGATGGCTGATTTGTCTCATAAAAGTTTTTTGATTTGTAATAATTCACCATCTTCCCTTTATTTTGTCCTGATTATATAGTCCATATCCCTTGTGACTTTCACCATAGAAGGACTTTATCCCTGTCTTCAAAAGCCATAAAAATAGTCCCCGTTGCTAACTAACAACATTGATGCTTTTGTGACCTAGGAAAGCTTCTAAGTGTAGCTTTGATCTCCTTTGTTGAGACAGAAATGGGCTGAACAGGGACCACCCCTGAGCCAAATTCTCCAGCAAGTCACTCCTGGGCCCCTTCTCTTTCTTTTCTTTTCTTTCTTTTTTTTTTTTTTTTGACGGAGTTTTGCTCTGTTGTCCAGGCTGGAGTACAGCGGTGCAATCTCAGCTCACTGCAATGTCTGCCTCCTGGGTTGAAGCAATTCTCCTGCCTCAGCCTCCCGAGTAGCTGGGATTACAGGTGTGCACCATCATGCCCGGCTAATTTTTGTATTTTTAGTAGGGACGGGATTTCACCATGTTGGCCAGGCTGGAAGGAAGGAGAAAGAGAGAGAGAAAGAAAGAGAAAGAGAGAGAGAAAGAGAGAAAGAGACAAAGAAAAAGAAAAAAAGAGAAAGAGAAAGGAAGAAAGAGAAAGAAAGATGAAAGAAAGAGAGAAAGAAACGAGGGAGGGAGGGAGGAAGGAAGGAAAAAGCAAAGCAAAGTTGAGTGACTACAGTTTCTGTACATTGGACCAATTTGGCACATTTCTTTATATAGGACAATCCATGTCCATTTACCTGTGTTCTGTGAGACAGATGAAGCCTGGACTTCTGCTATCCTGCCCTTGCTGGGAATGAGCAGGGTTGTACCTGCACTCATCATGGAATAAGCACTAAAGAAACAAAGCTACAACAGAAGATGTCCTCTACTGCAGGGCACCTTACATTCCAATCCTCCAATATGGCAGCGAGTCAAAATCTCAAAAGACCTGAGTGCCTTCTGCGTAAGTCCCCGTAGGCTTCTAGTATTCATTTTACAAGTATACTGATGCTCTCAGTTGATGCTGAGGGGGTGGCTGTTCATGAAGATGATGGAATTGGCTTCGGCAGAGGTCTCTCTTTGACCATCTAGAGGCACTGTTGCTTATCTATCAGGAAACGGAGGGAGGCACTGGGAATTTGAACTCGAGCTCTGGAGTTCTTCCATGCAGCTGTGTTTACGTATCATCAAGCACCGATTCATTGCCCGTTGGGACAGAGGAGAATCAGGCCTGGTCTGGCATCATTGCCGGGTGGGTGTGAAATGCCACTTCTACCGAGACCAACTGGAAATGAAAGATCGTCAACAGTCAAAAAGGTCACTGCATAAATGCCTGTGAAGTCCAAGTAACTGTCAGAGACAGAATACGCTTTGCAGCGGAGAGTTTTCCAGGAAAGAAAAATGGTCTCTGTGAATGTTCTTTGGGAGGCCACGGATGGCTTGTTCTGAAGTGAATGGAATTGCTTTGCAGAAGACGCATAGCCAGGCTGAGTTCAGGAGGTATCTCTTTTTTTTTTTTTTTTTTTTTTTGAGACGGAGTCTCGCTCTGTTGCCCAGGCTGGAGTGCAGTGGCACAATCTCAGCTCACTGCAACCTCTGCTTCCCGGGTTCAAGCAATTCTCCTGTCTCCACCTCCCGAGTAGCTGGCATTACAGGCACTGCCACCAAGCCTGGCTAATTTTTGTATTTTTAGTAGAGATGGAGTTTCACGATGTTGGCCAGGCTAGTCTCGAACTCCTGACCTCAAGTGATCCACCCACCTCAGCCTCTCAAAGTGCTGGGATAACAGACGTGAGCCACTGCACCCGGCCCAGGAGGTGTCTTAATCCATTTGCTGTTGCTACAACAGAGTAACACCGTCTGGGTAATTCACAGAAGAAGTTTATTTTGTAAAGTCCTGGAGGCTGGCAAGTCCAAAAGGCATGGTGCCTGCATCTGATGAGAGCCTCTTGCTATAGTACAACATAGTGGAGGACTTATAATGCCACCAGCTCTGTCCATGTGGGCCTCGCTTTGATGATCTTACCTAATTCTAATTGTCTCCTAAGGGTGCCACTCCAAATACTACAACATACTAATTTGAGAGAGAAGTTTCCAACACATGAAGCTTGGGAGACACAAACCATACAGGGTGGAGTCAAGACGGCTTGTTTAATTCGGCCAACTTGAGCAAAGAGGCATAATGGTTATTGCCTCTCTGGGTTCACTAAACACATAAACATGCCCACACTAATAATTCATGTCGACCGCAGTACTCTCTGCTTTTCCTGAATAGCATATTGTGTTGAACAGGTTATACGACCTTGGGTAGAGACTTAGCTCTCTTTAAGCCTCCATTTCTCATCTGTAAAATGAGAATGAAAGATGGTTTCTCCGTATTTATGGAAGGGTTCCAACAAGGTAAAGTGTGTAGCGTACTTTGTCAATTCTAAAGCACTCTTCTGATATAAATTATAGCATCCCCGGATTCATTGTTTGAGTTGGTTTCTTTTTTAAAATTAATTTCTGTTGTATGTATTTAAGGTGTGCAACATGATTTTTTGATATAGTGACATAGTGAAATGATTATAATTGTTAAGAAAATGAACACAGCTATCATCTCACATATTTACCTTTTTTGCGACAAGAGCACCTTAAATCTACTCTCTTAACAAAAATCCTAAATATGAAATGTATTATAGTCCTTATATTTTGCATTTGATTTCTAGACTTATTCTACATCATCTATAACAACCACCATTTTTTCTATTTCTATATATTTTCTTTCTTCCTTCCTTCCTTCTTTCCTTTCTTCCTTTTTTCTGATAAGGAGTCTCGCTCTTTCGCCCAGGCTGGAGTGCAGTGGCGTGATCTTGGCTCACTGCAAGCTCCGCCTCCCGGGTTCACGCCATTCTCCTGCCTCAGCCTCCTGAGTAGCTGGGACTGCAGGCACCCACCACCATGCCCAGCTAATTTTTTGTATTTTGTATTTGCCTTCCTTTCTTTTTCATTTCCTTCTTTCTGCCTTCTTTTCATTCTTTTATTTTTGTAGATTCTTTATATAAGTGAGATCCAATACTTTTAACTGAATGTGAACATTTCTTTTACAAAATAAAATGTATGTTCAGGCTTTTACTTAATCCATGCTAGTAAGAGCCTGGTTCAAAAATGAGCTGCAGGTTTTTTCAAAGAGAATCACAATCATTTCTGTGGAATAGGTGAAGTGAAAGACATTTTTAGAAAGTTTGCATCTTTTTGCAGAGACTTTTAATGAAGGGGTTTATGTTTTCCGCTCTGTTCGTTTACTGAAAGCAAAAGAAGAAAAGTGAGGAAGGGATTATACAAAGAAAGTGACTGAAAAATTCTGAAAATATCTGTTTTCATAAGATAAGAGCTTTATTCTAGTTCTGAACATATAATCATAGTCATCATTGTCCTTATTTAAATAAAAACAGCTAGCTGGGCAACTTAGTCTCATTGAAATTCCTGAGATCTTCATTCTTTCTTGGTATTTGGCTGAAAAAAGAATAAGTTTATCTCATTCTTTTCCCAAAGTATAGCACAAGGTTGAGAGCCTGGACTCGTGGCATGCATACCTAATGAGACCGTTGTATTACTTGGGGTGAAACTCCTTCCATTTGACTTGATGTAGTTATTTTCTTTTTCTTGCAAGGGAAGCAAACTTTGGGTTCTACCTGGGTCTTCCTTAAGCATCAGGTGTGTTTCAAATGGATAGATTTAATAATAATTGATCCACTAATAATTGATCCACTGGGCAATGATTTTTTAAATGTTTGTTTTCAAATTTAAAACAATGCCTCAAGTTTAGAAATGCCTCTCCTCGGCCGGGCGCGGTGGCTCATGCCTGTAATCCCAGCACTTTGGGAGGCCGAGGCGGGTAGATCACCTGAGGTCAGGAGTTTGAGAACAGCCTGGCCAACATGGTGAATCCCCATCTCTACTAAATATAAAAAATTAGCTGGGTGTGGTGGCACATGCCTGTAGTCCCAGCTACTGGGGAGGCTGAGGCAGGAGAATCACTTGAACCTGAGATGTGGAGGTTGCAGTGAGCTGAGATTGTGCCATTGCACTCCAGCCTGGGTGACAAAACGGAAAACTCCATCTCAAAAAAAAAAATGCCTCTCCTCTTCTAATTACCTCCCATCCCTCTCCCACTTCAAAGATCCTCATTCTGATTTTTCAAGGCTGAGTTCTGGGTTGGCAGGACAGTCTTGAATGAGGATCTGAATGTAGGAGTATTCCTGCAATTAGTCTTCGTTGCCACTAGGAGGTGGTGTGTAGCGGGGTGTCCTTTTGAGTTGACTTGCCAAGAAGACCAGGTGTAGGGTTAAGCATGATTTTCCAAATGGAAGCTTCAGGAAAGCTTCAAAAGATACCTTATGCACTGTAATGCACAGCATTTGATATTAAAACAATACATAGCATCTTAAACAATACATAGCAAGTGAAGTTTCTCTCAGGCTTCCCTCACAAAGAGCAAGCCTTGCTTATGGTGTCCTTGTTCTGTCCTATACCTTATCTCAGGCACTGTGAGCTGGGAATTAAAATTTTCTTTCCTTTTTTTTTTTGAGACAGAGTCTCGCTCTGCTGCCCAGGGTGGAGTGCAATGATGCAAACTTGGCTCACTGCAACCTTTGCCTCCTGGGTTCAAGCAATCATCCTGCCTCAGCCTCCTAAGTAGCTGGGATTACAGGCGCCCGTCACCACACCATGCTCATTTTGTATTTTAGTAGAGATGTTGGTTTCACCATGTTGGTCTGGCTGGTCTCAAACTCCTGATCTCAGGTGATCCACCTACCTCCACCTCCCAAAGTGCTGGGATTACAGGTGTGAGCCACCACACCCAGCTATCTTTACATTTTAATTATGGCAAAATACATATAACATAACATTTACTACTAGTGACATTCAGAACATTCCCCATGCTGTATAGCCATTACCTCCATCTCCTTCCAGAACATTCAACATTCCCCATGCTGTATAGCCATTACCTCCATCTCCTTCCAGAACATTCTAATCACCCTAAATGGAGACCTTGTACCTATTAAGCCCTCACTCCTCCTTTTCCCAACCCATGCAAACCCCTAATCTACTTTCTATCTCTAGGGATTCATTCCTTCTAGACATTTCACATAAATGGAATAACCCAAGGTGTGGCTTATTTATATCTGGCTTCATTTACTGAACATAATGTTCTCAAAGTACACTCACATAGCAGCGTGTGTCAGGATTTCATTGTGTTTGATGGCTGTTTCATATTCCACCATATGGATAGACGCCATTTTGTTTCTCCATTCACCTATGGGTGAACATTTGGGTTGTATTTACCCGTTGGTGATTGGGAAGAATGCTGCTATGAATAATTGGATACGTATTTTTGTTTGAACATTTGTGCTATGCTCTGAAGGTTTCTGTGTCCCCAAAGTTCATATGAGGAAAGCTAATACTCAAGGTGATAGTATTAAGAGGTGGAACCCTTGGAAAGTGATGAGGTCAAGAGAATGGAAGCTCCATGGATGGGATGAGTGCTCTTATCAAAAGAACCCCAGAGAGCTCCTTTTTTTCCTTCTACCATGCAAGGACACAGCAAGAAGGTGCCATCTACGAACCAGGAACTGGGTTCTTACCAGACACTGAATCTTCTATGTCTTGATTTTGGACATCCAACTTCCAGAACTGTGAGCAATAAACATCTGGTGTTCAAAAGCCACCCAGTCTAAAGTATTTTGTTACAGCAACATACAAAAAGACAGTGGCCCCCAAAATCTCCTCTCATCACAAGGAGCCCCCTTCACTTCACCCACAAAGGAGGCAAGATTTGAGGTCATCAGGCTCCCAACCAAGGGACTGGGTGTTCTGATCTATGTTTTAACTTTTCAATCAAGTACATCACTTCCAGCTGGGACTCTGGGTCTAGCACAGGGAGAAATAAAGTGTGAACCATCATTACAAGCTCAGGGAGGGAGGGAGAAAGTGCAAATCGAAGAGCTGGAAAATCATCGAGCCAGCCCAACTGTTGGGAGATTGGGGATTCTTTGTGCACGGAGCAGAAACAATCTCCTGCACGGGGTGGCGGCTTGGGCCAGGACTTCTCGGCATTGAGGAGTTACAGAGCTGTTTTGTAGCTAAACCGACTTTCATTCCAAGCACTTCTACAGAGAACGAAATCAAACAGCGGTGATGATGGGATCCCCAGGCCCGGCCAGTGATCTGCTTAATTACTGACCAGGGAAGCTTCAGTAGCTTAATTGGATTGATGGGCACAGTGCCTAGTCCTCCACCCACTGGTCCCAGAGATTTTTATGGATAGCATGCTGATCTTCCATGCCCTGAGGCTTGGGGTCCTGTGTCCAGCATTCCCCACCAACTGGGCAGATGCTGCTGGATTTATGTCAACAGCGAGTTCTGCAGGCACACCTCTAAAACACAGTCTCATAGTGTCTTCTGTTTTCAGGAACAAATACAAATTTTCTTCTCACATAAGTTATATCATGAACATGAGCATTTAACAAGGGACGGTGTGTGTGTGCGAGCACGTACATGTTGTATGTTGTGTGTTTTGTGTGTGTATGAGAGAGACACCACAGACACACTAGCCCCATGAAAGGCCAGGGCAGTGAGGCCTGGACCATGGTCTGCTAAGGACCTGGTGTGGCACACTGATGGTTATCACAAGTGGCCTGGGAGGTGTTCTGTTGGCCCCAGGGGTTCACTGACCATCATCACAGGTGGCCTGTGATGTGTTGACTTGGTGGGGCCCACTGACCACCATTGCTGGTGGCCTTAGAGGTGATCTGTTGACCCCAGGGGCTCACTGGTGACCACTGCCGGTAGCCTGGGAGGTGGTCTGTTGACCTTGGGGACTCATTGATGACCATTACAGGTGGCCTGGGAGATGGTCTGTTGACCCTGGGGAGTCACTGATGACCATTTCAAGTGGTCTGTTGACCTTGGGGGCTCACTGACGGCCATTGCAGGTTGTCTGGGAGGTGGTGTGTTGACCTTGTGGGCTCACTGATGGCCATTGCTGGTGGCCTTGGCGATGATGGTCTGTTGACCCCAGGGGCTCACTGGTGACCACTGCAGGTGGGCTGGGAAGTGGTCTGTTGACCTGGGGACTCACTGACCACCATTGCTGGTGGCCTTGGAGATGGTTTGTTGACCTTGGGGACTCACCACCATTGCAGGTGACTTGGAGATGGTTTGTTGACCTTGGGGACTCACTGACCACCACTGCAGGTGACTTGGGAGATGGTTTGTTGACCCTGGGGACTCACTGGTGACCATTACAGGTGGGCTGGGAAGTGGTCTCTTGACCTGGGGACTCACTGACCACCACTGTTGGTGGCCTTGGAGATGGTTTGTTGACCCCAGGGGCTCACTGATGACCATTGCAGGTGGCCTGGGGGATGGCCTATTGACTGGGCACATCCTACTGATTCACTGCAGAAGACGGGCAATTTGCTGAGCACCTAGAAGGGCCTATCAGTGCCAGGGTTAGTGGGTCCAACCTCAAGGTCCTGCACCTAGAGGACCTAACACAGACAATGTTCTGCTGGCTGCTGAACACTTGGACCTAACCCTGACCATCTTCTGCACATTGCCCAGGACTAGTTGGCCCCACTTCTTCTCTTCTCAGAGCCCACGATAGGCCCTGTGGTCACTCCCTCTGCAGAGGTGGAACTGAAATTCCCTCAGGTCACATTCCTGGTTATGCAGGAAGCTGAGAATGAGACAGGAATTCCAAACCCAGGTCAGTGGCCTAAATATGGTCCTGTGGGTCTGACCACAGGCAGTTACAAGGCTGGAACCCAGGGGAAAGCTGCCTTCCCACATCGCGCTGGGTGCACACCTGGAGCATTACACAGCTTGGGGGGATGAAGGGTAAGACCTCAGGCCCCTGGGCAGCCATGCTCTTATGAGTATGTATATCCTGGAGCAGGTCCTGCCACTTCAGGCCTCCTTACTAGTGGTGGAAGAGGCAGGTGCCTGAGCCCCTCTTCCCCATTCTGACTTGTACCTTTTGACTCCTAGCCCTTTCCACTCTCCCTCCCCAGACCTCCTAGTTCAGGACATGCCTGAACACCTCCGGTAACCTTCCCATGTGTAGTTTCCAGTATACCAAGAGGAGCTTGTGCGGTGGTTGAGCTTTAAGCAGCAGAAAGTTTCTCAGCAATTTGCCTCGTATATATTGGTATTGGTGTGCTCCAGGGAGACAGAACCAATTGTATCATTTCACGATAAGAAGAGGTTCTAAGTCGGGCGCAGTGGCTCACACCTGTCATCCCAGTACTTTGGGAGGCTGAGGTGGATGGCTGAGGTCAGGAGTTCGAGACCAGCCTGGCCAACATGGTGAAACCCCGTCTCTACTAAAAATACAAAAATTAGCCAGGCGTGGTGGTGGGTGCCTGTAATTCCAGCTACTCGGGAGGCTGAGGCAGGAGAATCGCTTGAACCCGGGAGGTGGAGGTTAAAGTGAGCCGAGATTGCGCCATTGCACTCCAGCCTGGGTGACAAGAGCGAAACTCTGTCTCAAAAAAATAAAGTAAAATAAAATAAAATAAATAAAATAAAGAAAAGGTTCTAAGCCGGTCATGGTGGCTCAAGCCTGTAATCCCAGCATTTTGGGAGGCTGAGGTGGACAGATCACTTGAGGTCAGGAGTTCGAGACCAGCCTGGCCAACATGGTGAAACCCCATCTCTACTAAAAATACAAAAAATTAGCCGGGCGTGGTGGCGGGTGCCTGTGATCCCAGCTGCTTGGGAGGCTGAGGCAGGAGAATCGCTTGAACCTCGGAGGTGGAGATTGCAGTGAGCTATCGTGCCACTGCACTCCAGCCTGGGCGGCAGAGCCAGTCTCAAAATATATATATATAAATATATATATATGTGTGTGTGTGTGTGTGTGTGTGTATGTATATGTATGTGTGTATATCTACATGCACACGAGTTTGTATGTATATATGTGTGTCTACATGCATGAATGTTTGACATATGTACATGTATATGTAGACATATATTGTATATGTATATACATATATGTATACACATACACGTGTATATGTATACATATATTGTATATGTATAAATATACATATATGTATACATATACACGTGTATGTGTATACATATGCATATACACATATATGTGTATATGTATAAATATGCATATATGTATACACATACACGTGTATATGTATACACAAGCATATATGTGTATGTATATGTCAAACATGTGTATGCATGCAGACACACACACACACACACACAAATATACGTCCAAAGACAGCATCTGAAGGACTTCAGGCTAAACCTACCTGGTGGAAGAAACTATTCTCTTAACTCTCATTTCCAAATGAGAAGTATATTTAAGATGGGTGTACTTCCCTCACGGTGAAATGGTTTTCAACTTCTCAGGGAGAGAAGTCTTATTTCCTCTTTGCCTTTCTCCCCCCATTTTCCCTTTCTTTCCTCTTCCACATAGAGCATTTTAGATGCGTCCAGGGGGCCATGGTCTGTCACTCACTCACTTCTCTTTAGCTTACAGAAAGACAACATGCTATGAAAAAGAAAGAAAAAATCTCTCTTCTCAGTTTCTGATGTTTGCTTATCTGTTATTCTTGTAGATGTATATTGCCAGATTTGTATATGTCAATGTGTTATGGAAATTTTAACAGATATAAAAAGTATAAACAATAGTGAATTTCAGCCAGGTGTGGTGGCTCACGCCTGTAATCTCAGCACTTTGGGAGGCCAAGGCGGGTGGATCACAAGGTCAAGAGATCAAGGCCATCCTGGCCAACATGATGAAATCCCCACTCTACTAAAAAGGCAAAAAATTAGTCAAGTCATGGTGGCGTGTGCCTGTAATCCCATCTACTCGGGAGGCTGAGGCAGGAGAATGGAGTGAACCCAGGAGGTGGAGGTTGCAGTGAGCCGAGATCACGCCACTGCACTACAGCCTGGGCGACAGAGCAAGACCCCGTCTAAAAAAAAAAAAAAAAAAAAAAAAACAGAATAGTGAGTTTCAGCCAGGTGTGGTGGCTCATGCCTATGATTCCAGCACTTTGGGAGGCCGGAGAATTACTTGAGCCCAGGAGGTCGAGGCTGCAGTGAGCCAAGATCACGTCAAGGCACTCCAGCCTGGGTGATGGAGCGACGTTCTGTCTCGAATTTTTAAAACAAGAAGGGTGAGTTTAAAAGCTTGTGTACCTGCGCAGAACTTCAAGAAAATATTGCAATGTTATCTTCTTCACTTTCAGCCAGAAACTTAGCCAGGTGTGGTGGCAGGTGCCACCTGGAGATCTGGATGGGGGTCGTATGAGAACATCACGTTCTTTTTCTGAGCCTCTGGTATCCAGCCTAGCCTGTAGGCATTGCTTCCTCCGATGGGCAGTTTGTGCCTCTGGAAATCACCCTTCTACCTCCCATACCCCCCATCCCAATATCTCTGTGTGCTTGGCACATAGGAGGTGGGACATTTGGTAGAGAAAATACGTGCTGAAGCAAATGGAGTGAAATTGGGGAATCTGATAGAAGCAAATGGAGTCAAATCTGGGAATTTGATAAGCCTCCCATTCACACTGGGGATACTGGGACCAGATCCAAAGCCAGCAGCATTGAAACAGCGGTTGAAGCAGCGTTCAAACAGTATTGAAACAGATTTGTGGACACCGCAGTCGTGCATGCATTCCTCATGAGGAAAGGCTGTCACTCTTTAAATTTCTCCCTGACTTGGGTGTCTGCAAATATCCATGAGTCTTATTCTCTACGTGGACACACAGATGTCCACTCGGATACCTCAGCCGTAGAAGAATCACCAAGCATCTATGACCCACATTGTTTATCTATTTATCTTGCCAGTCGTTTTGTGGGGAGGAAGGGGGCTTGCTTTGTTTAAAAAATTATTTGAGGCCAGGCACGGTGGCTCACGCCTGTAACCCCAGCACTTGGGGAGGCTGAGGCTGGCGGATCACCTGAGGTCAGGAGTTCGAGACCAGCCTGGCCAACATGGCGAAACCCCGTCTCTACTAAAAATACAAAAATTAGCCAGGCGTGGTGGCAGGTATCTGTCATCCCAGCTACTCAGGAGGCTGAGGCAGGAGAACTGCTTGAACCCGGGAGGTGGAGGTTGCAGTGAGCCAAGATTGCGCCACTGTGCTTCAGTCTGGGTGACAGTGCGAGACTCTGTCTCAAAAAAAAAAAAATTTGAAGTAGTGTACAAGAATGTAGGAGAGAAAAAAACCCTAATCCACAGAGCATCGAGTTCATTATAAATACACACGAGACTGACTCGTCTTCTCTGGGAAGATGACAAGAGTTGGAAAGGCCCTGACTTGTGATTGGAAGGAAGGCTTCAGGTACTTGGAGTGAAAATGAGAATTAAAGGCACAAGAAAACAGTTATTTTGCAACAGGAATATATTTGGCAGGGACCTCCAAATCCCAGTTGTGGACCCATTGCTGGCTGCAAGTACAGGATCTCAAACATGGTTTATCTATGTTGCCTATATTTTTTGGAGAGGAAGCGGGCTTGCTTTGTTTAAAAAATTATCTGAGGCCAGGCACGGTGGCTCACACCTGTAACCCCAGCACTTGGGGAGGCCGAGGCTGCTGGATCACATGAGGTCAGGAGTTCGAGACCAGCCTGGCCAACATGGCGAAACCCCGTCTCTACTAAAAATACAAAAATTAGCTGGGCATGGTGGTGGGCACCTGTAATTCCAGTTACTCAGGAGGCCAAGGCAGGACAATTGCTTGAACCCGGGAGGCGGAGGTTGCAGCGAGCCGAGATTGTGCCATTGCACTCCAGCCTGAGTGACAGAGCAAGACTGGCTCAAAAAAAAAATTATTTGAAGTCGTTTACAAGAATGTAGGAGAGAAGACTGGGAAGATTGGCATCTTGGGAAGATGCCAAGAGTTGGAAAGGCCCTGAGTTATGACTGGAAGGGAGGCTTCAGGTACTCGGAGGAAACATGGGGATTAAAAGCACAAGAAAACAGTCATTTTGCAACAGGAATATATCTGGCAGGGACCTCCAAATCCCAATTGTGGACCCATTGCTGGCTGCAAGCACAGGCTCTCAAACCTGGTTGGGCAGTGGGGACCCTCTGGGCAGAATCACCTCCATCCCACCTGGGTTTCCACTTTAAACCCCCCAGTGGGGATTTTCCCATTCTGGAGACCTGGATGGGGTCCTCTGAGAACATCAGGCTCTTTTTCTGAGCCTTTGATCTCCAGCCTAGCCTGAATCAGGCTGGATGTCAGAGGTGCATCCTCCTTAGAATGAAGGAAGAAGGGACTTGGTAATGTTCTATGTACACACGGCAGGGTGATGCTTTGGGGTGTTTGTAAACGAGGTTTCTCCCTCTCATTCAGTTGCTCATCTTCCCTTTCACCCACTGCCCTGCCAACTAATTTGAGTAGCCTGATGGTGCTTGCTTCATCTCGCCAGGGGAGGGATGGGTTAGACCAGAGAGATGGAGAAAAACCAGCCTCTCCCTCGCTTGACTTCAAGGTCTGTTTTCAAGAGGGAGGCGCGCGTGGGTTTGGGTTAGACCTAAAGTGGTTGATGCTTAGAGGGAGGGATTTCTTTGCTCTCAGACTAGGGGGCAGAGATGAGGTAGCGAGGATGGAATATAGAGGTGATTGAAGGTATCTGGAAAGATATGCGTGGGCAATATGCAAATATTACACCATTTTATATAAGGGACATCCATGAATTTTACTAGCATCTGCTGAGTGTCCTGACATCAATCCTCCACAGATAACAAGGGATGACTGTATATAGATGACTTAGAGATACAGAAAGATATATAGAGAGATAGGGCGATACAGAGATGAAAGATTAATTGATGATAGATACCTGGATGGATAGATAGGAGATAGATAAATACATAGATACATAGATAGACGACAGATAGATACATAGATAGATAGATACATACATAGATAGATGATAGAAAGATAGATGATAGATGGTAGATAGATAATAGATAGATAAGTAAATAGATAGTAGACAGAAGATAGACAGTAGACAAGTAGCTGGTAGGTAGATAGTAGAAAAGTGGTAGATAGATAGATAGAAGACAAGTCGCTGGTAGGTAAGTAGACAGACAGTAGACAGGTAGCTGTGTAGACAGATGATAGATAGATAGATAGATAGATAGATAGATAGATAGATAAGATAGATAGATAGAAACATAGATGATAGGAGACAGGTACATAGATATCTGGATGGATAGATAGGAGATAGACGACAGATAGATAGATAGATGATAGATGGTAGATAGATAGATAATAGATAAGTAAATAGGTAGATAGTAGACAGAGATAGAAGATAGATAGTAGACAAGTAGCTGGTAGGTAGATAGGTAGATAGAAAAGTAACTGGTAGATAGATAGAAGACAAGTAGCTGGTAGGTAGGTAGATAGAAAGACAGTAGACAGGTAGCTGTGTAGACAGATGATAGATAGATAGATAGATAGATAGATAGATAGATAGATAGATAGATAGATGATAGACAAAGATAGATAGTAGATAGATAGTAGATAGAAAGATAGATAGATGGATAGTAGATAGATAGATAGAGATAGATGATAGATAGGAGACAGGTACATAGATTGATGTCGTGTTGATTGACAGATGATAGAGCCATATACACTGAGGTGTGTACACACACATGTATAAACGCACATTGGATATACAGATGTATATATAGAGAGAGAACCATATGCACAGAGTCATGTACTCATATGCCCCCCACTGCTGTGTCACTGCGTACATTTTCAGAAATCCACCTATTTCTGAGTCGAGGAAGAACCTGCTCTCCCAGGGGTAAAGGGGTGTGCCGCTCCAGGATGACATGCCACCCTGGTGTTGACTCTTTCAGCCTCACACACAAACCCCACCCGCTGGGTCAGGGTTTACACCCTCTTCAGTGAATGTCCTGGATTTCCTGGAGAGGCTCAGCCAGGCAGGAGGGGACCAGGAGAGGCGCTGGCCATTCCTCCAGTTTGGTCACCAAGAGGTGGGTGGTTTCAGCCTGAAAGATGCACCTGCAGGACCTGTGGGTTGAGTAGATGGTGTCACCTGAGGGGCAGGGGATGACCAGCGTCCCTGGGTGGAGAGGGCTGCGTGGACAGTGCACTCATCCCACCTTGCTGCCCCTCAGTCGCCTGGCCACAGAGACTCCGGGTCCACCACATTGAACCCCCACTGCCACGATGCCCTTCACCCTTGACGTGAAAGTCCCTTCCTCACCTGAGCCCGCCAACGTCTCTCCATCCTCACTTCCTCATCTCTGCCCCCAGTCTATCTACTTATCTATTTATCTATGTATCTATCTATCTACTATCTATGTATCTATCTATCTACTATCTATCTATATCTATGTATCTATTATCTATCTATATCTATGTATCTATGTATTATCTATCTATATCTATCTATGTATCTATCTCTATCTACCTATCTATCATCTATGTATCTATTTATCTATCTAGCTATCTATGTATGTATCTAGTATCTATCTATCTAGCTATATATCTATGTATCTATGTATTATGTATCTATCTTCTATCTATATCTATCTATGTATCTATCTATCTCTATCTATCATCTATGTATCTCTCTATCTAGCTATCTATGTATCTAGTATCTATCTATCTAGCTATCTATGTATGTATCTATGTATTATCTATCTTCTATCTATCCATCCATATATCTATCATCAGTCAATCAATCCTTTCATCGCTGTATCGCTCTATCCAGGTATCTTATCTATTTATTTTTCTCTTTCTATATTTCTGTATCTCTAACTCATCTATATACAGTCATCCCTTGTTATCTGTGAGGGATTGGTTCCAGGACACACGACAGATAATAGTAAAATTCATGGATGTGGCTGATATAAAATGGTGTAGTATTTGCATATTAGCTATGCACATCCTTCCAAATACCTTCAATTGCCTCTATATTACTTATAATACTTAATACAATGTAAGTGCTATGTAAATAGTTACTATACCATATTGTTCAGGGAATAATGTTTTAAAAAGTCTGTACATGTTCAGTACAGATGCATTTTTTTCCAAATATTTTTCATCTGTGGTTGGTTGAATCCACGGATTTGGAAGCCACAGATATGAACAGCCAACTCTGTGTGAGTGTGTGGGTATATATACATATGTATGTGTGTATACATGTATATGTATATATGTATGTGTATATATGTATGTGTGTATATGTGTATATATGTGCGTATAGATGTATGTGTGTATATATGTACATGTATATATGTGTGAGTGTATATATGTGTGTGTATATGTATATGTGCATTTATATGTATATATGTATATGTGCATATATGTATGTGTATATATGTACACGTATATATGAGTATATATGTGATTTGTATATATGTATGTGTATATATGTGCGTATGTATATGTATATGTGTGTATGTTTATATGTACATGTGTATATATGTACATGTGTGTATATATGTATATATGCATGTGTGTATATCTGTCTGCATGTACATGTATGTGTGTATATATGTATATGCACATGTCTGTGTGTACATATGTGTGTATATATGTATATGTTTATATGCACGTATGTACATGTATATATGTGTGTATATATGTACATGTATATATATATGTGTGTATATATGTGTGTATATATGTATGTGTGTGCATATGTATGTGTATGTGTGTGTGTAGATATGTATATGTACGTGTGTATATATGTGTGAATATGTATGTGTGTATATATGTATATGTGTATTCGTGTATGTATACACTACATTTATTCTATTTATCTCATAATTATGTATAAAACATGTAAGACAGATGCTAATTGTTGCCGCTCACCTACCTACATTTTCTCTTTAAGAAACATACGGTTTCAGATTTTAAAATGAAACAGACTTGAAGCCATGTGGAAATTTTTGACTGAAGTTCTCCAGTGGCCAATTTCTGTTTAAAAAATGTAAAAAGACCAAGGATTTCACACACTCCATCAGGCACCTAATAAAGAGACTCATGCATCTGTCAGTAACAGCAGCCCAGCAACCCAGCATTGCACGGTTAGAATATCTACTAGGAAGTGAAAAATAAATAACCGTTGTATCTGAACCTTTACAGGGTCTCAAACACCTGCCTGATTCACAATGGTGCATAATTCCAGTGATTTTCCATTTATGAAGGTTCTTGGAGCACCTGGTCTCTCTTCCCTATGATCATGCAAAACCAGCTTTCAAAACCTTTTCATCGGCGGATTAAACAGATTCTCATTTCCCCTCTCCCTTAATACGTTCCAAGGTGTTTGAAAGAGTCGTGGATACATTTTAATTTTCTTAATCATAGTTTTGCGGCGAATTGTCACGTCACCGGGTTCATTTGTTTGGAAGTGTATTGAAGCTTCCTCTTCTGTAACGTTATGAGATAATTGCTTTCTATCCAAATCCCATTCTGTGAACCCATGTGTCCAGTGGAGGGTGCCTGTACCCAAGCTAAGTTACTCTTTCAGCCCGGGAGGCTCTAAAATCCAAAGAATGCTTGCTTGTCTAAAACGTCCAGTTCAATATCTGGACCTTTGCTTTTTCTTTTCTTTTTTATTTTTAACCAGTAGCCTAGTTAGAAGGTCCCTTTCTCTTTATTTTTATTTTACTTTAACTTCTGGGATACATGTGCAGAATGTGCAGGTTCGCTACAGAGGTATACATGTGCCATGGTGGTTTGCTGTACCTGTGAACCCGTCATCTAGGTTTTAAGCCCTGCATGCATTAGGTATTTGTCCTAATGCTCTCCCTCCCCTTGCCCCCCACCCCCTGACAGGCCCCTGTGTGTGATGTTCCCCTCCCTGTGTCCATGTGTTCTCATTGTTCAACTCCCACTTATGAGTGAGAACATGCGGTGTTTGGTTTTCTGTTCTTGTGTTAGTTTGCTGAGAATGATGGTTTCCAGCTTCATCCATGTCCCTGCAAAGGACATGAACTCATTCTTTTTGATGGCTGCATAGTATTCCATGGTGTATATGTGCCACATTTTCTTCATCCAGTCTATCATTGATGGACATTTGGGTTGGTTCCAAGTCTTTGCTATTGTGAATAGTGCTGCAATAAACATACGTGTGCATGTGTCTTTATAGTAAACTGATTTATAATCCTTTGGGTGTATACCCAGTAATGGGATTGCTGGGTCAAATGTATTTCTGGTTCTAGATCCTTGAGGAATCGCCACACTGTCTTCTACAATGGTTGAACTATTTTTCATATCGTTTCTATTGCATAAGCACTTTCTTAAATAAAAAAAGTTTTATTCCTCCTTCCCAATATGTAGGCATTTTCTTAGCTTTTTTGAATTGCACTAGAGGGTCCTACAGTTTGCTTTTGTGTGAGACAGGACACTTTGCTGTGCTCCTGATCTTACCAGGAAGGCATTTAGCCCTTCCCTGCTAAGTATAATCAATAGCTGTCAGTTTGTAATGTGCTTTATAAGGTGGAAGAAATTGTCTCTATTCCTACTTTAAGATATATATATATATTTTAACATGAATGTGTACATTTGTCAACTGTCTTTTTGGCATTTACTGTAATCATATGCTTTTAATTCTTTATTCTGTTGTCATGGTGAGTTACCTTGATCTGCTTCAAAGGCTGAGCCAACCCACATTTCTGGGATAGATTCTTTCCTTCCCCAACCCTTGGTCATGAAATATTCTCTTCTCCTCTCCTCTCTCCTCTCTTCTCCTCTCTCCTCTCTTCTCCTCTCTCCTCTCCTCTCTCCTCTCCTCCCTCCTCTCCTCTCTCCTCTCCTCTCCTCTCCCCTCCCCTCTCCTCTCCTTTTCGGTGTGTGATGTTCCCCTCCCTGTGTCCATGTGTTCTCATTGTTCAACTCCCACTTATGGGTGAGACTCTCTTTTCTTTCTTTTCTTTTCATTTATGTTTTTGAGACGGAGTCTCACTCTTGTCATCCAGGCTGGAGTGCAGTGGCGCGATCTCAGCCTCACTGCAACCTCCGCTTCCCGGATTCAAGCGATTCTCCTGCCTCAGCCTCCCGAGTAGCTGGAATTACAGGCACCCAGCAGCACATCTTGCTAATTTTTGTTATTTTTAGTAGAGACGGGGTTTCGCCATGTTGACCAGGATGGTCTCAATCTCTTGACCTGGTGACCCGCCTGTCTCGGCCTCCCAAAGTGTTGGGATGACAGGTGTGAGCCACTGCACCCGGCCAATACTATTGTTTTAGTACTGGTGGTATTAATCTGTCAACATCTTGCGAAGCCAGCATTCCCTGGATACTAACACCAGACTAGGACATTGTCAGACTCTAAAACGAATGGCAAAGATTCCTCATGAGCAAATATACAAAAAGTCTTTAATATAATGGGCTGAGAAGTATATGCTTCCATTTTCTGGAAGCATTTCTATAGCATTGAGGTTTTTTTTTTCTTGAATAATTGGTAGAATTTACCTGTACAGCTGTTTGGGGTTGGAGTTTTCTTTGGGAGTATTTAATGGCAAATTCATTTACCTTATTCGATATATAAGAGAGCAGTGAGTGAGCTGAGCCTCTTTCAAACCAGAACCCCTGTGGGATCCCAAGACCTTCCACTGAGCCAGATGCTGGAATCCACCTCAGTACCCCACGGAACTCAAAGAACAGGCTTAAACAGTGAGAAAAACACCCTTTCGAGTCAGATTAAAAACTGGGACATTTCCATGTTTCTGTTTGACGCCATTTGGTGCGTGTATAAATATAATCTCAAGGGATAACTTCCAGTTCCAGGCAGAGCAAAGGACCATGACGTCTCAGCCCAGAGAGAAAGGCTTTGAATATCTGCCATCCTCTCAGGAAAAAATAAAGGCGTTTTTCCATAGTTCCCTTCCGACTTATCTTCCCCTTGACATATTGCATCAAATGCTTTAAAATTTTATTTTTGGTGTTGGCTCATGACTCACATCCATGCTTCAATGTCTGAAATCTAATTAATATTCTCTGAGTCCCCCTGTTGAGTTAGCCTGAAGTCCCAGCCTTTGAGCAGTGCTCAGATGTTACAGGAAGAAGAAAGTAATCGAAACTTGGTGAGTTTGAGACACTTTTGAAATGTTCCTCTGCGTTTAGAGATCCTGCTAGTTCTCATCTCTTGCCAGTTCCAAAGTGTAACACATTCTGCTTCCCTGAGCTAATAAAAATCAATTTCTGCTGCTCACAGTTTGTCTTTCTCAGAAAGACGGGTCTCAGGCTATTTGTCTTGGCCAGGTGCCACAGAAGTAACCGCAGGGAGAAACTGGTCTTGGATGTTCTGCCCGTAAGATTAGTCATCTTGGCCGGGCACGGTGGCTCACGCCTGCAATCACAGCACTTTGGGAGGCCGAGGTGGGCGGATCACTTGAGGTCAGGAGTTCGAGACCAGCCTGGACAACATGGTGAAACCCCGTCTCTACTAAAAATACAAAAAAATTACCCAGGCGTGGTGGCGGGTGCCTGTAATCCCAGCTACTCAGGAGGATGAGATGGGAGAATCGCTTGAACCTGAGAGGCAGAGGTTGCAGTGAGCCGAGAACACATCATTGCACTCCAGCCTGGGTGACAAGAGTGAAATTCCATCTCAAAAAAAAATTAATCATCTCCTGGGTTTTTTGTTTATTTTTATTTTTATTTTTTTTGATATGGAGTCTCACTCTCTGTCGCCCAGGCCGGAGTGCAGTGTCGCGATCTCAGCTCACTGCAACCTCCGCCACCCAGGTTCAAGCGATTCTCCTGACTCAGCCGCCTGACTAGCTGGGACTACAGGCACATGCCACCATACCTGGCTAATTTTTGTATTTTTAGCAGAGATGGGGTTTCACCATGTTGGCCAGGCTGGTCTCGAACTGCTGACCTCAAGATCCGCCCGCCTCAGCCTCCCCAAGTGTTGGGTTTACAGGCGTGAACCACTGTGCCTGGCCAGAATGATCTGGTTTTAAACATCAATACTGCTGAGGTTGAGAAAATCTTCTTTAGCATGAGAGACTCAGTCTACATATTCTCTCTCTGTCTTTCATCTGTCACTATTGTTATTATTCTATCTGTTCATCTATCTATTAATATCTACATATCTTCTATATATCATCTATTATCTAACATCTACCTATATCTATATATCATGTATTATCACGTATCTATCCATTGTCTATTTCTATCATTTATCATTCTGTGTATTGATCATCTTTTTTTCTATCATCTATGTAACTCATCTATCATCTGTCATGTCTATCATCTATTTTTCTATCATCTGTGCATTGATCGATCTAGCATCTATTATCCCTCTCTATCATCTATTGATCTATCTACATATCTATCCGTCTACCTACTTAGCATCTATCTGTCATCTATTGGTCTTTCTACATATCTACCTACCTACCTACCTACTCAGCATCTATGTATCTGTGTATCCATCTATCATCTATTGATCTTCCTACATATCTACTTACCTACCTACTCAGCATCTATGTATCTATCTATCATCTATTGATCTCTCTACATATCTACCTACTAACCTACTCAGCGTCTATGTATCTATGTATCTATCTATCATCTATTGATCTCTCTACATATCTACCTACCTACCTACTCAGCGTCTATGTATCTTTGTATCTAGCTATCATCTATTGATCTATCTACACATCTATCTACCTACTTAGCATCTATCATCTATTGACCTATCTATATATCTATCTACCTACCTACTCAGCATCTATTATCTATCTATCATCTATCTATCATCTATCTAATCTATCTATTGTCTATTGATCTATCTACACATCTATCTACCTACCTAGTTAGCATCTATCATCTGTTATCTATCTACATATGTGTCTACCTATCTACTTAGCATCTATCTATCATCTATTGATCTATCTATATATCTATCTATCTACCTACTTAGCATCTATCTCTGTATCATCTATTGATCTATCTACATATCTACCTACCTATCTACTTAGCATCTATCTATCACCTATTGGTCTATCTACATGTCTATATACCTACCTCCTTAGCATCTATCTATCTATCTATCTATCTATCTATCTATCATCTATTGATCCATCTACTTGTCTATATACCTACCTCCTTAGCATCTATCTAATCTATCATCTGTCTATCTATCTATCTATCCAGCTATCTCTCATCTATTTACCTAAGTATTCTCTCTCTCTCTCTCTCACTCTTGCTCTCTCCCCCTTGCTCTCTCCCTACTACCTATCTATTATATATCTATCTATGGCAGTTGCTAGCAACCAGGTACGATGTTTTGCCCTAGGGCACATTTGGCAATGTCTGAACATATTCTTGGTGTCACAAGGCTGTTTGGCACATCTTGTGTAATTATGAATTTCCCAGAACATAGGCTTTTATCAGGAAATCCTCATGGTTCTGCCCTCAGCATGTATCCCACAGGTGAGTACATTATGACCTCTAGGGTGCCCAGTGAAGTCTCAGCCCTCCACCACACACCCTGTGCTTGACTTTTGAAGCCATCTCTTCCTGGTCTTTCTGCCTCTTACCTGACCCTTGGTCTATCAACTGTAGATAATCCTGGGGAATAATCATGCTGTTACCTGAGTGGGCTGCTTTGAAGAATGTGTCCCAAATCCATCCAACGGGAACCTCAGAATGTGACCTTATTCGGAAATAAGATTTTTGCTGAAGTGATGAGTTAACACAACATCATATTGGAGGTGCATGGGCCTTAAGTCCAATGACAGGTGTCCTCACAAGAGACAGAAGAGGAGACACAGACACAGACGAGGAGGCCACATGGACATGGCGGCAGAGACTGGAATGATGTGGCCACAAGCCCATGGATGCCTGCCACCCCCAGGATCTGGGAGAGGCAGGAAGGATCCTCCCCTAGAACCTCCAGAGGGAGCTCAGCCCTGAGACACATTCAGTTCAGACTTGTGGTCTGCAGGACTGGGAGAGGATACATTTCTGTTCTACCTGTCTGACTATCAACTATCTATCATCTCTATTTATCTATCACCTCTATCTATCTATCGTCTATCCCTCATCTCCATCTATCTATTATCTATCGACCTATCATCAATCTATCATCTATTATCTATCTATGTATCTATCTATCCTTTCCATCTATCATGTCTATTTATCTAACCTGTCTATTATCTATGTATCTCTCACCTCCATCTATTATCTATCGATCTATCATCTATCTATCATCTATGTATCTCTCATCTCCATCTATTATCTATTGATCTATCATCGATCATGTGTTATCTGCCTATCTATCTATCATCTATTATCTGTCTCTCATCTCCATCTATTATCTATCGATTTATCATTTATCTATCATCTATTATGTGTCTATCTATCCTTTCCATCTATCATCTCTATTTATCTATCCTATCTATGTACCTCTCATCTCCATCTATTATCTATCGATCTATCATCCGTCTATCATCTATGTATCTCTCATCTCCATCTATTATCTATCGATCTATCATCTATCTATGATCTATGTATCTCTTATCTCCATCTGTCTATTATCTATTGCCTATTGATCCATCATTATCTGCCTATCTATCATCTATTATGTATGTATCGCTCATCTCCATCTATTTTCTATAGATCTATCATGTATCTATCATCTATTATGTATCTATCTATTATCTATGTATCTCTTATCTCCATCTATTATCTATTTTCTATAGATCTATCATCTATCTATCATCTATTATGTACGTATCTCTCATCTCCATCTATCTATTATCTATAGATCTATCATGTATCTATCTTCTATTATCTATCTATCTATCCTTTCCATCTATCATCTATTATCTATCTATCTATCTATCTATCTATCTACCCTTTCCATCTATGTATCATCTATCATTTACTGTGGTGTCCCGAGGATCACCCCCTGGGCTCTCATCAACAATGAGAATGAATCCCAGTGGACATCCTTTTGTTCAGGGTCTCCGGACACCATCTCTGGACACCCTCCTCTTTTCTAACTCAAACTGCCACAGACCAAGATAAACATTTCAGCTGGAATTTCCACTTTGTGACCCTGGAGGAAGAATTTCCTATCCTTCAGGTCCCAGTCTTGATTTAGTCATTTCTGCTGGCTAATTGCTCTGTGATTTGTTAATTACCCACTTGCTCTTCAGTGACCACAATTTAATCTCAACTTAACAGGGTCGCGCTCCATACTCAGACCTTGGCGGATGTTTTCTTACTGACCAAAGACTGGATTTCTCAGGCATGTGTTTTCAGACACTGCTCAGAATCTACAGGCAGGAATGGCAGAGCTCATTTCAGGTCTTAGGAGCTCAGCACAAAATTAGGTAGTGAGTTTTCTTTCCATGCACACCTTGCTGTTCAATTTTTTTTTTCTTTTTTTTAGACGGAGTCTTGCTCTGTCACCCAGGCTGGAGTGCAGTGGCACAATCTTGGCTCACTGCAACCTCCACTTCCCAGGTTCAAGCGATTCTCCTGTCTCAGCCTTCTGAGTAGCTGGGATTACAGGTGGGCACCACCACACCCGACTAATTTTTTGTATTCTTAGCAGAGACGGGGTTTCACCATGTTGGCCAGACTGGTCTCGAACTCCTGACCTCAGGTGATCCACCCCCTCAGCTTCCCAAAGTGCTGGGATTACAGGTGTGAGCCACCATGCCCAGCCCCAGAGTCAATTCTGATCATTCAGCGTGTAGAACAGCTCAGGAACCATGGATCTGGCTTGGTGTTTGCAGCCACCAGGTGCTTTCTCTATAGGCTGGTCCCCTTCCCATCTCTTCTTGTGGACTGGATTTGACCCCCTACCACCGCTCAGAGACACAGGTGGAAGCTCTGAGTCCACCATTACGACTGTATTTGGAGACAGGGTCTGTGAGGAGGTAACTGAGGTCAAATGTGATCATAAGTGTGGGGTTGTAACCTGGTAGAATTGTGTCTTTACAAGAAGAGTATTGGCTGGGCGAAGTGGCTCATGCCTATAATCTTAGCACTTTGGGAGGCCGAGGTGTGTGGATTGCTTGAGGTCAAAAGTTCAAGACCAGCCTGACTAACAAGGTGAAACCCCATCTCTACTAAAAATACAAAAAAAAAGTTTGTGGTTTTTTTTTTTGCGGTGGTGCATGCCTGTAATCCCAGCTACTCAGGAGGCTGAGGCAGGAGAATCCCTTGAACCTGGGAGGAGGAGGTTACAGTGAGCTGAGGTCGAGCCACTGCATTCCAGCCTGGGTGAGAGAGCAAGACTCCATCTCAAAAAAAAAAAAAAGAAAAGAAGAGGATCACCTTTTACCCTCAAGTAGACCCCACTGTCTTTTCTTTCTCTCTGTGTTTCCATGTCTTCTGGATATTTAACTCCCACTTATCAGTGAGAACAGGTCGTATTTCATTTTCTCTTCCTGTGTTAGTTTGCTGAGGGAAATAGTCTCCAGTTCCAGCCATGTCCTTGCAGAGGACATGATCTCATTTTTTTTTCTTTTTCTTTTTTTTTGAGACAGGGTTTTTGCTCTCGTTGCCCAGGATGGAGTGCAATGGCACGATCTCAGCTCACTGCAACCTCCGCCTCCCGGGTTCAAGCCATTGTCCTGCCTCAGCCTCCCGAGTAGCTGGGATTACAGGCATGCACCACCACGCCCGGCTAATTTTGTATTTTTAGTAGAGATGGGATTTCTCCATGTTGGACAGGCTGGTCTTGAACTCCCAACCTCAGGTGATCCACCCCCTTTGGCCTCCCGAAGTGCTGGGATTACAGGCGTGAGCCCCCACGCCTGGCCATCTTGTTCATTTTTATGGTTGTATAGTATTCCACAGTGTATAGCTACCACATTCTCTTTATCCGGTTTATCACTGATGGGCATTGATATTGATTCCATCTTTTTGCTGTTGTGAATAGTGACATGAACAGGTAGTTTTGAAAAGAAGGCATACGTATGGTCAAGAGTCATATGAGAAAAATTCTCAACATCACTAATCATTAGAGAATTGCAAATCAAAACCACAATGAGATACCATCTCACTTCAGTCAGAATGGCTATTACTACAAAATCGAAAAACAGCAGATGCTGACGAGGTTACAGAGAAAAGGGAACGCATATATGCTGCTGGTGGCAATATAAATTAGTTCAACCATTGTGGAAAGCACTGTGACAACTCCTCAAAGAACTAAAAACAGAATTACCATTCTACCCAGCAATCCCATGATTGGGTATATACCTGACGGAATATAAATTGTTCTAGTGTAAATGGCCGGGCACGGAGGCTCACGCCTGTAATCCCAGCACTTTGGGAGGCCGAGGCAGGTGGATCACAAGGTCAGGAGATCGAGACCAGCCTGAGCAAAATGGTGAAACCCCGTCTCTATTAAAAATACAAAAATTAGCTGGGCACGGTGGCTCACGCCAGGAATCCCAGCACTTTGGGAGGCCAAGGTAGGCAGATCACAAGGTCAGGAGATCGAGACCAGCCTGAGCAATATGGTGAAACCCTGTCTCTACTAAAAATACAAAAATTATCTGGCTCACGCCAGTAATTCCAACACTTTGGGAGGCCGAGGCAGGCAGATCACCTGAGGTCAGGAGTTTGAGACCAGCCTGGCCAACATGGTGAAACCCTATCTCTACTACAAATACAAAAATTAGCCAGGCGTGGTGGCTCACGCCTGTAGTCCCAGCACTTTGGGAGGCCGAGGCAGGCGGATCACAAGGTCAGGAGATCGAGACCAGCCTAACATGGTGAAACCCTGTCTCTACTAAAAATTCAAAATTTAGCTGGCTCACGCCAGTAATCCCAACACTTTGGGAGGCTGAGGCGGGTGGATCACCTGAGGTCAGGAGGTTGAGACCAGCCTGGCCAACATGGTGAAACCCCATCTCTACTACAAATACAAAAATTTGTCAGGCATGGTGGCTCACACTTGTAATCCCAACACTTTGGGAGGCTGAGGCAGGCGGATCACCTGAGGTCAGGAGTTTGAGACCAGCCTGGCCAACATGGTGAAACCCCATCTCTACTACAAATACAAAAATCAGCCAGGCATGGTGGCTCATGCCTGTAGTCCCAGCTACTTGGGAGGCTGACAGAGGAGAATCACTTGAACCCGGGAGGCAGGGGTTGCAGTGAGCTAAGATCCTGCCACTGCACTCCAGCCTGGGTGACATAGTGAGACTTGGTTTCAATAATAATAATAATAATAATAATAATAAATAAATTGTTCTAGCATAAAGACACGTGCGCACGAATGTTCATTGCAGCACTAACTTTTGGCTTTCTTTTCTGGTAGGATCCAAACGTTTTCACGGGTTGGTGCCATTTTATTCTGTTGTTAGCAAGCATCTATGACCTGTGGTGAGTTACTCCTAAGCAGTGGCTCTGAACTCTGGGTGCACAAAGGCATTTTATGGGAGCTTTTAGAAAATACTGAGGCTAGGATCCACCCCCAGAGACCCACGTTTATTTGATGGGAGGTTTCGGCTGGGTAACAGGAGTCCTAAGGTATCAGCAAGGGGTGGTGAAATGCAGAGAGTTTGAGAAACCGCTGAGCTAGCCAGGTGTTCTGCACCTTAACTCCGCCATCCCTAGTGGGTTGGGGGTGCCCTCAGGAGTCAGTGAGGAGCCTCCAGTTTGGACGCGGCTTCAGCAGCTTGGCTGCAAGACATCCCATCAATACAGGCCAGCCAAGATGAATCAATTTTCAGTTGCCTGTGGCCAGCTGCCCTGCAAAGCCAATTTGTAATCTGATCCCGTCCTTGTCCGGGGGAGCTTTCTTTTTTTTTTTTTTTTTTTTTTTTGAGACAGAGTCGTGCTCTGTCACCAGGTTAGAATGCAGTGAAGCTTTCAAATTTCCCTGGGATGCCTGGAAGCCTGTGGAGACAGAGAGGCTGTTTCTGTAGGGTTACCCGGTGGCCGCGCCAAAATGCTCAGCTCTGCGTTTCGGGGGGCCGGCATCCCCTGAGACTCAGTGAGAAAAGAAAACAAGGGCTAGAAGGAGGGTTAGTGGGACGGGTGAGAGGCTGTTTCAGTCATGGTATTCTGCAGTGTGCTGGCATACAAAATGCAGCATAGTGTCATGCTTTGTGTTATATGTACTTTATAACACCTATAAAACATCTATAAGATGCAGAATATATAATCGTGCAATTGTTTAAAAAGATATGTATATATAATATATATTATACATGGGATATATATGTTATAGATAAAGTATATATAAAGATATATATTATATATAAAATATATATTTATAAAGACATGTATCTTTATATATAAAAGATATATATTTATCCATAAAGACATCTTTATATATTAAAGATATATCTATTTATAAAGACATATATCTTTTATATATATAAAAGATATATATTTATAAATAAAGACATATATCTTTATACATATAAAAAGATATATGTCTTTATTATATATTATATATATCTTTATATATATTATATATCTTTATTATATATATTATATATAAGATATACATTTATAAATATATATCTTTTATATATATAAAAGATATATATTTATAAATAAAGATATATATCTTTATATATATATTAAAGATATACATATATATTTTTTCTTTTGCAGGAGTCTCGCTCTGTCACCCAGGCTGCAGTGCAGTGGCGCAATCTTCACTGACTGCAACCTCTGCCTCCCAGGTTTAAGCAATTCTCCTGCCTCAGCCTCCTGAGTATCTGGGACTACAGGCACCCGCCACCATGCCTGGCTAATTTTTGTATTTTTAGTAGAGACAGGGTTTCACCGTGTTAGCTAGGATGGTCTCAATCTCCTGACCTCGTGATCCACCCACCTTGGCCTCCCAAAGTACTGGGATGACAGGCGTGAGCCACCTCACCCGGCCTATATGTGTTTTATTATATATATTATACACAGAATAGTTCAACTTTGTAGAAAAAAATTAGATTTTCCCACCTTGCATACAGATATACATATATTCTATCCTCCAGGATAGTTACCATATTATACATTATAACATATCATGTGTTATGTATAAAGTATGATATGGTATATGTTTGCATATCCAGTAGTGCAATTTATAGAAAATATAAGGTTTTTCCAGATTGCAATATGGATGTATGTATATCTTATTATATATCATATTGTCTACAATAGTTATATGTGCATAATAGTAAATACGATATGTAATACAGATAATGCATTATATATATATATATATTTGGCTATATGATAGAATATATAATAGTGGACCTGGCGCGGTGACTCACTTCTGTAATCCCAGCATTTTGGGAGGCTGAGGCAGGTGGATCATGAGGTCATGAATTCCAGACCAGCCTGGCCAACATGGTGAAACCCTGTCTCTACCAAAAATACAAAAATTAGCCGGGCATGATGGCAGGCTCCTGTAATCCCAGCTACTCGGGAGGCTGAGGCAGGAGAATCACTTGAACCCAGGAGGCGGAGGTTGCAGTGAGCCGAGATTGCGCCATTGCACTCCAGCCTGGGCGACACAGCAAGACTCTGTCTGAAAAAAATTATATAATAGTGCAATTTCATAGGAAACATAGAATTTCCCCACTTTACATACAGATATAGTCTATTTCAAATTACATTATCTGCAATAGAAATCATATTAGTATGTATAACACTCTATAACATATATAGTTATGTGTATAATGGATAATGTATAATACATAGTTATATAATAGTTATGTCTATATAACACACGTGTGTACATATAACACCCATACATGTAAGTATATAACACACATATGTGTATATGACACACACATACGTGTATATGATGCATATACATATATGTATATAAGACATATATATATATATATATATATATATATGGGTTCACATAGAGGGTTTTGGCTTGGAGCTGGGCTCTTCAGCGAGCTGCTTCCAGCAGTGAATGGGACACGCACCCTGCACCACAGGCTCATGTGTATTAGAAATATTACTCAGTGCCCAGCACAGCACATCCCTGGGCTGGGGTGAGTCAATGGTGGGAGCTGCAGGCAGGGTGCACAGTGAGAGAGACCCTGATCCGGACCACTCAGCAAGGGCATGGTACAATGATTTTCATGTCTGTGTTCACCCAAGTTCATGTTGAATCCTTACTCTTGAGAAATGGCGTTAGGAGGTGGTGCTTTTGGGAGATGATAAGGTATTCATGTGGATTCCTCACTCTTGAGTGATGGCCTTCGGAGGTGATGGTTTTGGAAGATGATAAGGTCGTAAGGTTGGAGCCTCATTAAGGGCATTCCTGTCCTACAAAAGGGACCCCAGAGAGCTCCATCGTCCGTTCCACCGTGTGAGGATACAGACAGAAAGTGCTGTCTATGAACCAGGAAGTGGGGTTTCCACCAGATACTGAATCTCACGTCTTGATCCTGAACACTCAACCTCCAGAACTGTGAGATGTAAAGGTCAACTGCTTATCCTGAAACATGAAGCTTCCAGCCCCAGAAAAAGTGGGGAAAATGTTTATGGACAGAATAGTGACGTCCCACCATCATTCCTGTGTTGAAATCCTCAACCCCAAGAGGATGGTGTTGGGAGGTGGGGCCATTGGAAGGTGATGAGGTGGTGAGGGTGGGGCCCCATGAATGCAATTAGTGCCCTGAGAAAAGGGACCCCAGAGAGTTCCTTCACCCCTTCCACCAGGTGAGGACACAGCCAGAAGGCACCATCTATGAACCAGGAAGTGGGTCCTCACCAGACACCGAATCTGCCACGCCTTGATCTTGGACTTCCAGCCTCCTGAACTGTGAGCAAAAAATGTCAGTTGTTTATAAGCCACCCAGTCTATGGTACTGTTTTTTTGTTTTGTTTTGAGACGGAGTCTCGCTCTGTCACCAGGCTGGAGTGCAGTGGCGCGATCTTGGCTCACCGCAACCTCCGCTTCCCGGGTTCAAGCAATTCTCCTGCCTCAGCCTCCTGAGTAGCTGGGATTACAGGCACCTGCCACCATGCCTGGCTAATTTATTTGTATTTTTAGTACAGATGGGGTTTCACCATGTTGGCCAGGCTGGTCTTGAACTCCTGAGCTCAGGCAATCCACCCACCTCAGCCTCTCAAAGTGCTAGGATTAGGTATTTTTATAGCAGCCTGAAATGGACAAACACACAAAGATGAAAAAAATAACTCTAGTCGTGTTCTCCAGGGTTTAGAACAGCGGCAGAATAGGCAAGCTCATGCCTTGCAAATGGTGAGACCCTTTTTGACAAGTTGTTGGACAGCAATTCCTTTTCCATGAGATTTTTTTTTTTCCTAAGGATAAAAATGGAAAATGGACCGGGCGCGGCGGCTCACACCTGTAATCCCAGCACTTTGGGAGGCCGAGGTGGGAGGATCACGAGGTCAGGAGTTCAACACTAGCCTGGCCAATATGGTGAAACCCCGTGTCTACTAAAAATACAAAAATTAGCCGGGCGTCTTGGTGTGCACCTGTAATCCCAGCTACTGAGGAGGCTGAGGCAGGAGAATCACTTGAACCCGGGAGGCAGAGGTTGCAGTGAGCCGAGACAGAGCCACTGCACTATTCCAGCCTGGGTGACAGAGCAAGACTCCGTCTCAAAAAAAAAAAAAAAGGCAAATGAAACATTAAGGATCAGACTGAGTTGCCGTGCCATTTATACATGGAGAAAACTCCAGAGGGATCTCATGTCCAAGGACCAGGACACAGCCAGGTAACAGCAAAGCTTCCATGCAACTGACAGGGTGAAAAAAATAGCGTGGATGGTCCCCACCGAGAAAGAAACCCAACACATTTTCCAGTGGAGAAAATGGGACTGGTGGGAGAACATCACGACGACGACGGTGCAGCAACTCAATCTACGCGCAGAGGTTATCTGGATTCAGCAGAAAAGGAAGGTGGCAGGTGTGACCGGTTTGCGTTTCATAAATATTTGCAACGCTTTTTAATTAATTAGTTAGTTTACTATTTTTGAGATGGAGTTTCGCTCTTGTTGCCCAAGCTGGAGGGCGGTGGCGCGATCTCGGCTCACTGCAACCTCTGCCTCAGCTTCATGCAATTCTCCTGCCTCAGCCTCCTGAGTAGCTGGGATTACAAGCGCCTGCCAGCACGCCCGGCTAATTTTTGAATTTTTAGTACAGATGGGGTTTCTCCAAATTGGCCAGGCTTGTGTCAAACTCTTGACCTCAGGTGATCTGCCCGCCTCGGCCTCCCAAAGTGCTGGGATTACAGGTGTGAACCACTGCACCTGGCCACATTTTTCCCCTCTTACAATGACAGTATCATGTTGCATCAGGGGCCAACTCCGCTTCATTCTGACCAAATCTTTACGAATTGCATCTGCAAAGGCTCTATTTCCAAACGAGGTCACACTTGAGCTTCTGAGCAGACGTGAATTTGAGGGGTACATGTTTCAACCCCATTCACATCAACGTCTTTTTCTTCTTTAGCAATCAGTGAAGATAATAAGGTCATTTTTATTCTGAGAGGAAATGTGAGTTCGTCTCGTCTCAGAGGATTGCTCAGAGTCCAGTTGAGCATGGCTGGGGTGCTAGGCTGTGCCGTTCTTGCTCTAAGCCCGAGGGATAACTAATTTCCATTATTTTGTTCTTGCCGCCTCATAATTTGTCTACATGGGGGTGAGGAGAGTGAATGTCCTGTTACAGGAAGCTGTTGCGGGTGGACTATTTAAAGGGATTTCAGGCCAGGTGCGGCAGCTTATGCCTGTCATCCCACCACTTTGGGAGGCCGAGGAGGGTGGATCACAAGGTCAGGAGTTCGAGACCAGCCTGGCCGATATGGTGAAACTCCATCTCTACTAAAAATACAAAAATTAGCCGGGTGTGCTGTCGGGCGCCTGTAATCCCAGCTACTCAGGAGGCTGAGGCAGGAGAATCTCTTAGAACCCGGGAGGCGGAGGTTGCAGTGAGCCAGATTGGGCCACTGCACTCCAGCCTGGGTGACAAGAGGGAGACTCCATCTCAAAAAAAATCATAAAATAAAAAATTAATTAATTAAAAAGGCTAGGTGCAGTGGCTCATGCCTGTAATCCCAGCACTTTGGGAGGCCGAGGTGGGCAGATCACCTGAGGTTGGGGGTTTGAGACCATCCTGGCCAACATGGTGAAACCCCATCTCTAGTAAAATACAAAAATTAGCTGGGTGTGGTGTCGGGTGCTTGTAATCTCAGCTACTCAGGAGGCTGAGGCAGAATCTTAGAATCCAGGAGGTGGAGGTTGCAGTGAGCCGAGATCAAGCCATTGCACTCCAGCCTGGGCGACAAGAGGGAGACTCTGTCTCAAAAAAATACATAATATAATAAAAATAAATAAATAATAAAATAGGCCAGGCACGGTGGTTCACGCCTGTAGTCCCAGCACTTTGGGAGGCCAAGGTGGGTGGATCACCTGATGTCAGGTGTTCGAGACCAGCCTGGCCAACATGGTGAAACCCCATCTCTACGAAAAATACAAAAATTAGGTGGGTGTGGTGTCGGGCGCCTGTACTCCCAGCTTCTCAGCAAGGTGAGGCAGGAGAATCTCTGAGAATCCGGGAGGTGGAGGTTGCAGTGAACTGAGATTGGGCCACTGCACTCCAGCCTGGGCGACAAGAGGGAGACTCTGTCTCAAAAAATATATATATATAAAATAAATAATTAATAAAATAGGTCAGGTGCACTAGCTCATGCCTGTCATCCCAGCACTTTGGGAGGCCAAGGCAGGTGGATCACCTGATGTCAGGACTTCGAGACCAGCCTGGCCAACATGGTGAAACCTCGTCTCTACTAAAAATACAAAAATTAGCCGGGTGTGGTGTCGGGCGCCTGTAATCCCAGCTTCTCAGGAGGCTGAGGCAGGAGAATCTCTTAGAACCCCGGAGGCAGAGGTTGCAGTGAGCTGAGATTGCACCACTACACTCCAGCCTGGGCGACAAGAGGGGGACTCCATCTAAAAAAAAAAATGATAAAAAATAAATAATATAAAAAGTAAAATAAATAAAAGGATTTCAGAGGCATCTAACCAAGTAAGGACCCGGCCAAGCATGTATGTTGAAGACAAGCTGAGAAGGCTTTATAGCAATTAACAAAAAAAAACAGCTGGTAACAACAGCCAGTCTGGGGGTGTAAAAATGGAACTACCATTGGTAACAGGACCTTCCGTTCCTTCTAATGACCTCTTTGAAGGTACGAGTGATTTACACTCCATCATAACCCTCTTGGCCCCTGGGGCCTCGTCTCAGCATCCGTTCCGTAGGCAGGAGGCACGGTTCTCGGTGTTTCCGGAGACCAACCCTGTTTTGTTTCTTTGGTAAAGCATAGAGCGTGGTGCTATTGACGTCGGGAGAATACCACGGCTTTGAAAACATTATTCTCAGTGAACGGAAGCCTGTCGCTGAAGACCACGTATCCTGTGATTTCATTCAGATGAAAGGTTCAGAATAGACCAGTCCAGACACAAAGCAGATTAGTGGTTTCACAGGGGCTGGGGTGGGGGTGGGAAGGGAGTGGGGTCATGGGGAAAGAGTGTGGGGTTTCTTTGTCTTCTGCAAGGGATGAAAATATTGTAATCTACCCACAGTCATGCTTCTCTGCATCTGTGAATATCCTAAAAGCCACTCAATGGTAAATTGAATTGTCCATGACCAGAGGGGCCGGTGCACGTGACAGGCAGAGGTAGGAGACCCCATCCTAGCATCCACTGTTGACATTCTAAAAGTGACTGTCGGCCAGGCATGGTGGCTCACGCCTGTCATCCCAGCATTTTGGGAGGCCGAGGTGGGTGGATCACCTGAGGTCGGGAGTTCGAGACCAGCCTGGCCAACATGCTGAAACCTTGTCTCTACTTGAAAAATGAGTGAATTGTGTGGGATGTGAATTATATCTGAATAGAACAATCTTTTTTCTTTTTCTTTTGGCCGATTTTCTTTTTCTTTTGGTTTCTTTTGATCTGATGGTTTTACAAATGGGAGTTCCCCTGATAATGTCTCACTCTGTCACCCAGGCTCAAGTGCAGTGGCACGATCATAGCTCACTGCAGCCTCGATCTCCTGGGCTCAGGTAACCCTCCCACCTCAGTGTCAGCATAGCTGGGACCGCAGGTGTGCACCACCATGCCCAGTTAATTTATTTTTTCTAATCTGTAGAGACTTAAAAAAAATATATATATATATATATATGGAGGCCGATGCGGGTAGATCACCTGAGGTCAGGAGTTCGAGACCAGCCTGACCAGCATGGCGAAACCCCATCTATAGTAAAAGTACAAAATTACCTGGGCGTGGTGACTCCTGCCTGTAATCCCAGCTACTCAAGAGGCTGAGGCAGGAGAATTGCTTGAAGCTGCTAGGCGGAGGTTGCAGTGAGTGGAGACCTCACCACTGCACTCCAGTTTGGGTGACAGAGCAAGACTCCATCTCAAAAATAAAATAAAATAAAATAAAAGTGCATATAAAAGGTATGTTTATAACCATATTGTAGCCTATTAAACGTGCAATAGCATTATGTCTTAAAAATATGCATGCTTTAATTTAAATCTACTTTTTTCTTAATTATAGTTTAAGTTCTAGGGTACATGCGCACAACGTGCATGTTTGTTACATATGTATACATGTGCCATGTTGGTGTGCTGCACCCATGAACTCATCATTTACATTAGGTATATCTCCTAATGCTATCCCTCCCCCCTCCCCCTACCCCAATTTCAAATCTATTTTATTGCTAAAAAAGCTAATAGATTTTCTCCATGGGTGGGGTTACGACATTCCTGCAATTTGTAAACAACAACAACAAATAGTGTCTGACGGTGCCATAAAGCAAACTGCAATCAAATGAGGCATGCCTGTATAGACACACTTTGGCATCCATTCAATTCTTTATCTAACCAGAATATATATGTAATTTTCATTATTTATTTATTTTAATTTTTAATTTTTTTATTCTTTGATATTTTATTTTATTTTATTTTATTTTATTTTATTTTGAGACAGAGTCTCGCTCTGTCTCCCAGGCTGGAGTGCAATGACCCTATTTTGGCTCACTGCAAACTCCACCTCTGGGGTTCAAGTGATTCTCCAGCCTCAGCCTCCTGAGTAGCTGGGATTACAGGCATTCACCACCAGGCCTGGCTAACTTTGTATATTTAGTAGAGACGGGGTTTCGTCATGTTGGCCAGGCTAGTCTCGAACTCCTGGCCGAGGTGATCCGCTCGCTTCAGCCTCCCAAAGTGCTGGGATGACACGTGTGAGCCACCGTGCCTGGCCCAAATCTTTCAAGCCGGCTGTCAGCAGGCATCCGTGTCAGGTCCACCTGTCCGTCCAGCTCCAAGCTGATTGTCAGCCACTGCACAGGCTGAAAAAAATGGACTTTAATATCTGTGAAAACCTCGTTGGCTCAAAGGAAACTGTAGCAAATTCTTTTTTTTTATTTTTGTTTTTTAACTCAAAGAGTGGAGTTTGCATTGACCTTGTGATGGCACGCTGCTCTTTTGTTTTGGTGTAAATCCTCTAGTGGGCACTTTGCAAAAGCAATTTTAGAGCAAAGGTGGTGGCATGGAGTTGTGTGAGGTTGCTGAAAAGTAGCAAATGGAAGAAAGGTTAATGGAGCTGGATTTCTACAAAGGACGTCCTTTGAGGAGATCCACAGCAGCAACAATCACAGAGCAGCTTGCGTTTCCTATTCTGGGGACTTGGAGCACTTGATTGTAAGGAAGAAAGTGTGAGTGGGCACAAGGCTGGTGGTCACAATAAAAAGAACAACAGTAATAATATGATACTACCACTGCATGAGAGCAGTAATAACAACAACAGTAATACAATACCACCGCCGTGTGAGAGCAGTAATAACTACAACAGTAATACGATACCACCGCTGCATGAGAGCAGTCATAATCACAACAGTAATATGATACTACCGCCGCATGAGAGCAACAACAGTAATATGATACTACTGCCGCATGAGAGCAGTAATAACAACAGTAATATGATACTACCACTACATGAGAGCAGTCATAATCACAACAGTAACATGACACCACCGCCGCATCAGAGCAGTAATAACAACAACAGTAATATGATACTACCGCCGCATGAGAGCAGTAATAACAACACTAATATGATACTACCACTACATGAGAGCAGTCATAATCACAACAGTAACATGACACCACCGCCGCATGAGCAGTAATAACAACAACAGTAATATGATACTACCGCCGCATGAGAGCAGTAATCACAACAGTAATATGATACTACCGCTGCATGAGAGCAGTAATAACAGTAATATGATACTACCGCCGCATGAGAGCAGTAATAACAGTAATATGATACTACCGCCGCATGAGAGCAGTAATAACAACAGTAATATGATACTACCGCCGCATGAGAGCAGTCATAATCACAACAGTAATATGATACTACCGCCGCATGGGAGCAGTAATAACAACAACAGTAATATGATACTACCGCCGCATGAGAGCAGTAATAACAACAGTAATATGATACTACCGCTGCATGAGAGCAGTAATAACAGTAATATGATACTACCGCCGCATGAGAGCAGTAATAACAACAGTAATATGATACTACCACTACATGAGAGCAGTCATAATCACAACAGTAATATGATACTACCACTACATGAGAGCAGTCATAATCACAACAGTAATATGATACTACCACTACATGAGAGCAGTCATAATCACAACAGTAATATGATACTACCGCCGCATGGGAGCAGTAATCACAACAGTAATATGATACTACCGTTGCATGAGAGCAGTAATAACAACAACAGTAATATGATACTACCGCCACATGAGAGCAGTAATCACAACAGTAATATGATACTACCGCCGCATGAGAGCAGTCATAATCACAACAGTAATATGATACTACCGCCACATGAGAGCAGTAATAACAACAGTAATATGATACTACCACTACATGAGAGCAGTCATAATCACAACAGTAATATGATACTACCACTACATGAGAGCAGTCATAATCACAACAGTAATATGATACTACCACTACATGAGAGCAGTCATAATCACAACAGTAATATGATACTACCGCTGCATGAGAGCAGTAATAACAACAGTAATATGATACTACCGCCGCATGAGAGCAACAACAGTAATATGATACTACTGCCGCATGAGAGCAGTAATAACAACAGTAATATGATACTACCGCCGCATGAGAGCAGTAATAACAACAGTAATATGATACTACCACTACATGAGAGCAGTCATAATCACAACAGTAATATGATACTACCGCCGCATGAGAGCAGTAATCACAACAGTAATATGATACTACCGCTGCATGAGAGCAGTAATAACAGTAATATGATACTACCGCCACATGAGAGCAGTAATAACAGTAATATGATACTACCGCCGCATGAGAGCAGTAATAACAACAGTAATATGATACTACCGCCGCATGAGCAGTCATAATCACAACAGTAATATGATACTACCACTACATGAGAGCAGTCATAATCACAACAGTAATATGATACTACCGCTGCATGAGAGCAGTAATAACAACAGTAATATGATACTACCGCCGCATGAGAGCAGTAATAACAGTAATATGATACTACCGCCGCATGAGAGCAGTCATAACAGTAATATGATACTACCGCCGCATGAGAGCAGTAATAACAACAGTAATATGATACTACCGCTGCATGAGAGCAGTAATAACAACAGTAATATGATACTACCACTACATGAGAGCAGTCATAATCACAACAGTAATATGATACTACCGCCGCATGGGAGCAGTAATCACAACAGTAATATGATACTACCGTTGCATGAGAGCAGTAATAACAACAACAGTAATATGATACTACCGCCGCATGAGAGCAGTCATAATCACAACAGTAATATGATACTACCGCCGCATGAGAGCAGTCATAATCACAACAGTAATATGATACTACCGCCACATGAGAGCAGTAATAACAACAGTAATATGATACTACCACTACATGAGAGCAGTCATAATCACAACAGTAATATGATACTACCACTACATGAGAGCAGTCATAATCACAACAGTAATATGATACTACCACTACATGAGAGCAGTCATAATCACAACAGTAATATGATACTACCGCTGCATGAGAGCAGTAATAACAACAGTAATATGATACTACCGCCACATGAGAGCAGTAATAATCACAACAGTAATATGATACTACCGCCGCATGAGAGCAGTAATCACAACAGTAATATGATACTACCGCCACATGAGAGCAGTAATAACAGTAATATGATACTACCGCCACATGAGAGCAGTAATCACAACAGTAATATGATACTACCACTACATGAGAGCAGTCATAATCACAACAGTAATATGATACTACCGCTGCATGAGAGCAGTAATAACAACAGTAATATGATACTACCGCCACATGAGAGCAGTAATAATCACAACAGTAATATGATACTACCACTACATGAGAGCAGTCATAATCACAACAGTAATATGATACTACCGCCACATGAGAGCAGTAATAACAACAGTAATATGATACTACCGCCGCATGAGAGCAGTAATAACAACAGTAATATGATACTACCGCCACATGAGAGCAGTAATAACAGTAATATGATACTACCGCCACATGAGAGCAGTAATCACAACAGTAATATGATACTACCACTACATGAGAGCAGTCATAATCACAACAGTAATATGATACTACCGCCGCATGAGCAGTAATAACAGTAATATGATACTACCGCCGCATGAGAGCAGTAATAACAACAGTAATATGATACTACCACTACATGAGAGCAGTAATAATCACAACAGTAACATGACACCACCGCCACATGAGAGCAGTAATAACAACAGCAATATACTACCGCCGCATGAGAGCAGTAATAACAACAGTAGTATGATACTACCACTACATGAGAGCAGTCATAATCACAACAGTAATATGATACTACCGCCGCATGAGAGCAGTAATAACAGTAATATGATACTACCGCCGCATGAGAGCAGTAATAACAGTAATATGATACTACCGCCGCATGAGAGCAGTAATAACAAGAGTAATATGATACCACCACCGCATGAGAGCAGTAATAACAACAGTAATATGATACCACCGCCACATGAGAGCAGTAATAACAACAGTAATATGATACTACCACTACATGAGAGCAGTCATAATCACAACAGTAATATGATACTACCACTACATGAGAGCAGTCATAATCACAACAGTAATATGATACTACCGCCGCATGAGAGCAGTAATAACAGTAATATGATACTACCGCCACATGAGAGCAGTCATAATCACAACAGTAATATGATACTACCGCCGCATGAGAGCAGTAATCACAACAGTAATATGATACTACCGCCACATGAGAGCAGTCATAATCACAACAGTAATATGATACTACCACTACATGAGAGCAGTCATAATCACAACAGTAATATGATACTACCACTACATGAGAGCAGTAATAACAACAGTAATATGATACTACCGCCACATGAGAGCAGTCATAATCACAACAGTAATATGATACTACCGCTGCATGAGAGCAGTAATAACAAGAGTAATATGATACCACCGCCACATGAGAGCAGTAATAACAACAGTAATATGATACTACCACCGCAGGAGAGCAGTAGTAGGAGTAATAATAAAGTTAACAGCAGCAGCCCGGTCTGGTGGCTCACGCCTGTCATCCCAGCACTTTGGGAGTCCGAGGCAGGTGGATCACTTGAGATCAGGAGATAGAGACCATCCTGGCTAACATGGTGAAACCCCATCTCTACTAAAAATACAAAAAATTAGCTGGGCGTGGTGGCAGGTGCCTGTCATCCCAGCTACTCGGGAGACTGAGGCAGGAGAATCGCGTGAACCCGGGAGATGGAGCTTGCAGTGAGTCGAGATTGCGCCACTGCACTCCAGCCTGGGCGACAGAATGAGACTCCATCTCAAAAATAATAATAATAAAAAAAATAAAAACAAGAGTAATAATATTATACTACCACCGCATGAGAGCAGTAGTGAGAGTAAGAATAAAAGTAACAGCAGCAGCCGGGTGTGTTGGCTCACGCCTGTCATCCCAGCACTTTGGGAGTCCGAGGCGGGCAGATCAGTTAAGGTCAGGAGATGGAGACCAACCTGGCTAACATGGTGAAACCCTGTCTCTACTAAAAATACAAACAATTAACCAGGCGTGCTGGCAGACACCTGTAATCCCAGCTACTCGGGAGGCTGAGGCAGGAGAATCAGGTAAACCCAGGAGGCGGAGGTTGCAGTGAGCTGAGATCATCTCACTGCACTCCAGCCTGGGTGACCGAGTGAAATTCTGTCTCAAAAAAAGAAAGAAAGAAAGAAAGAAATGTAATCCCCAAAGTGGCAGTATTGGAAAATGGTTCTGTTAAGAGGTGACAGGGCCATGAGACCTTTGCCCTCATGAATGGATTACTCCACACATAGATTAATGAATTAATGGGTTAATAGATTAAGTGTTTATCATGCAAATGTACTGACCTAAGCCAAGATGTGGATATTATGGGGTTTCACCCATGCTGCCATAGCAAAGTCTCACAGACTAGGTGGCTTAACCAACAGACATTGATTCTCCCACAGTCCTGGAGGCTGCAAGTCTGAGATCCAGGTGTGGGCAGGGCTGGTTCCTCCTGAGGCCTCTCTCCTTGGCTTGGAGACACTGTCTTCTCCCTGCAGCCTCACAGGGTCATCCCTCTGTGTGTGTCTGTGTCCTCACCTCCTCTTCTTATGAGATGCCTTAGTCCATTTCAGGCTGCTAACACAGAATACCATAGACTGGGTGACTTATAAACAACAGACATTGATTCTCCCACAGTCCTGGAGGCTGGAAGTCTGAGATCCAGGTATGGGCAGGGCTGGTTCCTCCTGAGGCCTCTCTCCTGGGCTTGTAGACGCCGTCTTCTCCCTGTGCCCTCACAGGGTCATCCCTCTGTGTGTGTCTGTGTCCTCACCTCTTCTTCTTATGAGATGCCTTAGTCCATTTCAGGCTGCTAACACAGAATACCATAGACTGGGTGACTTATGAGCAACAGACATTGATTCTCCCACAGTCAAGACAGGGGAAGACCATGGAGAGGAGGGTCATGTATCTGTAACTCTTGAACATTTTATTCCAGGATCAAGTAAACGTGCCAATATTTGGGTTAGCTTTCTGCTTTTTCTCCGGCAAAACACGACAATTTACACTGCATTGAATTTAAGGATGGTTGCTTTCTCCTTGACATGCCAACAGAACAAACAGGGTCTCCGATTCTGAAATGACTCCAGATTTGGGAGACAAAGTTGTGTCAGCCAATTTCTACAGATGCTGTCTGTAGACTCTGCTTGTGCCTGCATTTGGCTTTACAGATTCAGGCTGTGTTTCTGGAGCCGCCTCGCACGTTCTCCTCTATTGAGATTATAAAATTATCAAAAGCTTGAAGGTAAATGCTCTCTGTTGACTCAACACGATTACAACTTTGTGTGTGTGTGTTTGCTGCAGTGCAGCGCACAAGTTTTATAGGACAACCTGAGCCTTCATTTCTTCAGTTTGACATTCTGAGTTTAAGACAAAGGGAATGATCACCCCGCCGTGTTCTTGGTAAAGGAAGAGTGTTAGAGCATCATGGCAGTATTCTTCCAGCCTCCAGGAAGAGAAGCTTTTAAAATGACAATTTCTGATTTGACATTTTCACTTGTAACACCCTAGAGGTATAGGCAGGTCTTGCATCTGCAAAAGGTTATTGCTGTGGAGAATTGGGAGCTGTGGTAAATGAAGTGTGACCGCCTTGCCCACAGTAAGGCAGGGAAGACAAGAGAATGTAAAAAATGTGAATACCTTGAGGAAGACAGTGTGCTAATTCCTCAAGGATCTAGAACCAGAAGTACCTTTTGACCCAGCAATCCCATTACTGGGTATATACCCAAAGGATTATAAGTCATTCTACTATAAAGACTCATGCACACTTATGTTTATTGTGGCACTGTTCACAATAGCAAAAACTTGGAACCAACCCAAATGCTCATCAGTGATAGTCTGGATAAAGAAAATGTAGCACATATACACCATGGAATACTCTGCAGCCATCAAAAGGAACAAAATCATGTCCTTTGCAGGGACAGGGATGAAGCTGGAAACCATCATCCTCAGCAAACTAACACAAGAACAGAAAACCAAACACTGCATGTTCTCACTCATAAGTGGGAGTTGAACAATGAGAACACATGGACACAGGGAGGGGAACATCACACACCAGAACCTGTCAGGGGAGGGGGGCTAGGGGAGGGATAGCATTAGGGGAAATACCTTATGTATATAATGGGTTGATGGGTGCAGCAAACCACCATGGCACATGTATACCTATGTAACAAAACTGCCCACGCTGCACATGTACCCCAGAACTTAAAGTATAATTTAAAAAAAAAAAGAAAAAAAATGTGCAATACTCACCAGATGATGTTCCAAGTTGTTTAGCTGCAATAGTGACTGGCTTAATGCATTAGTTTGCCCCCCTTTTTCCTTATTATTTTGTTATCCCAAAAAACCTTTCCTACAGGGGCTAAGAATATATGGGAAATTCCAATATACCATTTCTGGGGAAACCCAAGCAAATAACAGACAGGGGTTATGGCCACACCGTGCTTTCTGGATATTTGTACTATTACGAGTGGAAATGTGTCCTATGCCAAATTCATAGATTGACGTCCTAAATCTCAGTTCCTCAGACTGTGATCTTGTTTGGAAGTACATCATTGCAGATGTAATTAATTAGTTCTGTTAGGATGAGGTCAGGCTGGAGTCAAATGGGCCCCTAATCTAATATAAATGTTGTCTTCATCCATTTGAGCATCTATCACGAGATGTCATAAATTGGGTTGGTTTGAAATAACGGGAGTTTATCACTCACAGCTCTGTTGGCTAGAATTTCAAGATCAAAGGGTGGAAGATTCAGTGTGTGGGAACGGCTTCCTGGTTCACAGACGGTGCCTTCTCACTATGCCCTTACATGGTACCGCCTCCGCCAACAGGGAACAGATTTCAGCATGAGACCCAAACACCTCCACCCAGTCCCACCTCCATCACTGGGAACCAGATTTCAGCATGAGACCCAAACCCCTCACCCAGCCCCACCTCCATCACTGGGAACAAGATTTCAGCATGAGACCAAACACCCTCACACAGACTCACCTCCAACAATGGGGACCAGATTTCAGCACGAGACCAAACACCCTCACCGAGCCCCACCTCCAACACTAGGGACCAGATTTCAACATGAGAAACAAACACCTCCATCCAGCCTCACCACTAATACGGGGGACCAGATTTCAGCATGAGACCCAAACACCCTCACCCAGCCCCACCTCCCACACTGGGAACAAGATTCCAGCATGAGACCAAACACCCTCACACAGACTCACCTCCAACAATGGGGACCAGATTTCAGCAATAGACCCAAACACCCTCACCCAGCCCCACCTCCAAACTGGGGACCAGATTTCAGCATGAGACCCAAACACACTCACGCAGCCCCAACTCCAACACTGGGGACCAGATTTCAGCATGAGACACACACACCTCCACCCGGCCTCACCCCCAACACTGGAGACCAGATTTCAGCATGAGACCCAAACACCCTCATCCAGACCCACCTCCAACAATGGGGACCAGATTACAGCATGAGACCCAAACACTTCCACCCAGCCCCACCGCCAACACTGGGGACCAGATTTCAGCAGGAGACCCAAACACCCTCATCCAGACCCAACTCCAACATTGGTGACCAGATTTCAGCATCAGAACCAAACACCCTCACCCAGCCCCACCCCTAACACTGGGGACAAGATTTCAGCATGAGACCCAAACAACTCTATCCAGCCTCACCACCAACACTGGGGACCAGATTTCAGCATGACGCCTAAACACCCTCACACAGACCCACCTCCAACACTGGAGACAGATTTCAGCATGACATGCAAACATCTCGACCCAGCCCCACCTCCAACACTGGGAACCAGATTTCAGAATGAGACCCAAACACTTCCACCCAGCCCCACCTCCAACATTGGGGAGCAGATTTCAGAATGAGACCCAAACACCTCCACCTGGCCTCACCTCCAACTTCAGGGACCAGATTTCAGCATAAGACACAAACACCTCCACCCAGACCCACATCAAACACTGGGAACAAGATATCAGCATGAGACCCAAACACGTCCACCCAGCCCCACCTCCAACAATGGGGACCAGATTTAAGCATGAGGCGAAAACACCCTCACCCAGACCCACCTCCAACACTGGGGACCAGATTTCCGCATGGCACCCAAACACGCTCATCCAGACCCACCTCCAACATCGGTGAAAAGATTTCAGCATGAGACCCAAACACGCTCACCCAGCCCCACCCCTAACACTGGGAACAAGATATCAGCATGAGACCCAAACACCCTCACCCAGCCCCACCTCCAACAATGGGGACCAGATTTCAGCATGAGACCCAAACACCTCCACCTGGCCTCATCCCCAACACTGGGGACCAGATTTCAACATGAGACGCAAACACCTCCACCTGGCCTCACCTCCAACTTCAGGGACCAGATTACAGCATGAGACCCAAACACCTCCACCCAGACCTACCTACAACACTGGGAAACAGATTTCTGCCTGAGACCCAGACACCTCCATCCAGCTTCACCACCAGCACTGGGGACCAGATTTCAGCATGAGACCCAAACACCCTCAGCCAGCCCCACCTCCAACACTGCGGACGAGATTTCAGCATGAGACCCAAACATCCTCACCCAGCCCCACCCCTAACACTTGGGACCAGATTTCAGCATGAGACCCAAACACCCTCACCCAGCACCCCCTCCAACACTGGGGATGAGATTTCAGCATGAGACCCAAACACCCTCACAGAGCCCCACCCCTAACGCTGGGGACCAGTTTTCAGCATGAGACCCAAACACCTCCATCCAGCCTCACCACCAACACTGGGGACCAGATTTCAGCATGAGGCCCAAATACCCTCACCCAGACCCACCTCCAACACTGGGGACGAGATTTCAGCATGAGGCCCAAACACCCTCACGCAGACCCACCTCCAAAACTGGGGACCAGATTTCAGCATGAGACCCAAACACCTCCACCCAGCCTCAACACCAATACTGGAGACCAGATTTCAACATGAGACCCAAACACCTCCACCCGGCCTCAACACCAATACTGGAGACCAGATTTCAACATGAGACCCAAACACCTCCACCCAGCCTCACATCCAATACTGGAGACCAGATTTCAGCATGAAGCCCAAACACCCTCACCCAGCCCCATCTCCAATAATGGGTACCGGATTTCATCATGAGACCCAAACGCTTCAACCCAGCCCCAACTGCAACACTGGGGAACAGATTTCAGCATGAGACACAAACACCCTCCCCAAGACCCACCTCAAACACTGGGGACCAGATTTCAGCATGAGACCCAAACACCTTCACCCAGCACCACCCCTAACACTGGGGACCAGATTTCAGCATGAGACCCAAACACCTTCACCCAGCACCACCCCTAACACTGGGGGCCAGATTTCAGCATGAGACCCAAACACCCTCACCCAGCCCCACCTCCAACACTGGGGACAAGATTTCAGCATGAGACCCAAACACCCTCACCCAGCCCCACCCCTAACACTTGGGGACCAGATTTCAGCATGAGACCCAAACACCTCCATCCAGCCTCACCTCACCTGGGACCAGATTTCAGCATGAGACCCGAACACCTCCATCCAGCTTCACCACCAACACTGGGGACCAGATTTCAGCATGAGGCCCAAATACCCTCACCCAGACCCACCTCCAACACTGGGGACCGGATTTCAGCATGAGACCCAAACACCTCCATCCAGCCTCACCACCAACACTGGGGACCAGATTTTAGCATGAGACCCAAACACCCTCACCCAGCCCCACCCCTAACACTTGGGACCAGATTTCAGCATGAGACCCGAACACCCTCACCCAGCACCCCCTCCAACATTGGTGACCAGATTTCAGCATGAGACCCAAACACCCGCACCCAGCCCCACCCCTAACACTGGGGACCAGAATTCAGCATGAGACCCAAACACCTCCATCCAGACTCACCTCCAACTTTGGGGACCAGATTTCATCATGAGATCCAAACACCTCCATCCGACTGGCCTCACCTCCAACAGTTGGGGCCAGATTTCAGCATGAGACCCAAACACCTCCATCCGGCCGGCCTCACCTCCAACATTGGGGACCAGATTTCAGCGTGAGACCCAGACACCCTCACCCAGCACCCCCCCAACACTGGGGACCAGATTTCAGCATGAGAGCGAAACACCTCCATCCAGCCTCACCACCAATACTGGGGACCAGATTTCTGCATGAGACTCAAACACCTCCATGCAGCCGGCTTCACCTCCAACACTGGGGCGAGATTTCAGCATGATACCCAAACACTTCCACCTGGCCTCACCTCCAACACTGGGGCGAGATTTCAGCATGATACCCAAACACTTCCACCTGGCCTCACCTGTAACAGTGGAGACCAGATTTCAGCATGATTCCCAAACACCTCCACCTGGCCTCACCTCCAACATCAGGGATCAGATTTCAGCATGAGATTTGGAGAAGACAAACATGCCGACTATATCAGCCACCGCGCCTGGCCACAGATATTTAGTCCTTAGCAACTGGTGTCCTTATGAAAAGGGGGAAATGGGATGTGAATGGCGAGAAGCTATGGGAACTTTGCAGTGATGCTGCCCCAAGTCAAGGAAGTAACAGATGCCAGAAAAGGCAAGGAAGGATTCCTCCCTGGATCCCTCAGAGGAAACGCAGGTCTGCAGACACCTTAATCTCAGACGTCTGGACTCCAGAACTGGGTGAATCTACACTTCTGTTATTTAAGCCACTCTGTTTTCTGTATTTTGTTAGATCTGCTCCAGCAAACTAACATTTTATTCCTGTACCTGAACATTGAAAGTCAGCTATGAATGAGTCGGTTCCTGGTACACAGCTTTTTTTTTCTTTTCTTTTTCTTTTTTTTTCTTTCTTTTTCTTTTTTTTTACACAGTCTCAGCGTCTCACTCTGTCACCCAGGCTGGAGTGCAGCAGCGCGATCTCGACTCTCTGCAACCTCCGCCTCCTGGGTTCAAGCGATTCTCCTGCCTCAACCTCCCAAGTAGCTGGGATTACAGGTGCCCACCACCATGTCCAGCTAATTTTTTTTTTTGTATTTTTTTTAGTAGAGACAGGGTTTCACCATGTTGGCCAGGCTGGTCTCAAACTCTTGAACTCATGATCTGCCTGTCTCAGTCTCCCAAAGTGCTGAGATTAACAGGCATGAACCACTGCACCTGGACTGGAATGGACAGTGTTTTTCTTCCTTGCCAGAAAAGGCAAGGAAAGATTCCTCCCTGGAGCCCTCAGAGGAAACACAGGTCTACAGACACCTTAATCTCAGACGTCTGGACTCCAGAACTGGGTGAATCTACACTGCTGTTATTTAAACCATTCTGTTTTCTGTATTTTGTTAGATCTGCTCCAGCAAACTAACATTTTATTCCTGCACCTGAACATTGAAACTCAGCTATGAATGAGTAGGTTCATACTGGACAGCATTTGTTGTTGTTGTTTTTTGAGACAGAGTCTCACTGTTGCCTAGGCTGGAGTCCGGTAGTGAGATCTTGGCTCACTGCAACCTCCACCTTCCGGGTTCAAACGATTCTCCTGCCTCAGCCTCCCAAGTAGCTGGGACTACAGGTGCATGGAACCACGCCCAGCTAATTTTTTGCATTTTTAGTAGAAACAGGGTTTCACCATGTTGGCCAGGATGGTCTCAATCTCTTGACCTTGTGATCCGACCGCCTCAGCCTCCCAAAGTGCTGGGATGACAGGCGTGAGCCACCACACCCAGCCTGCAATGGACTGTGTTTTTCTAACGTCATCCTCATAGACTCAAAGGCATCTCTCGGCCTTCAGTCCACCTGGGTGGCTCATCACAACTTTACAACCCTGCTGTCCCATCTGGGTAGAATTCCACCTGCGTTCATTCCACCAGCACGATTTTATGACCCTGCTGTCCAAAAGTATATGTACGTTAGCTTGATTTAGCTGTTCCACAATGTGTATATATATATTGCAAAATAACATAGCGTGCCATGGTAAATAAATGCCATTTAAATCTGTCAATTTCAAAACGATAAAACTTTAAATATAATAGGGCAAATTTACCAACTGCAATAAACAAGCAAAACCTGAGGATTGGTTCACTGTAAACTGTAATAGGGTTCTTGACAGGGTAAAGGAACAGGCTGGGAGCTTCAGAGCAAGCAAAGTTCTTCAGACACTTTAAACTTTGATGTCTGGACTCCAGAACTGAGAGGGTCTACACTTCTGTTATTTCAGCCATTCAGTTTGCTGCATTTTTGTTAGATCTGTCCCAGCAAACTAACATGCATTGATCAAAAGTATTCAGGTATTTCATTCCTGCACCTGAAAATTGAAACTCAACCATGAAAGAGTCGGTTCCTGGTGGACAGCGTTTTCCTTTCTTTCTTTTTTTTTTTTTTTTTTTTGAGACAGAGTCTCACTGTGTCGCCCAGGCTGGAGTGCAGTGGTGTGACCTCGGCTCACTGCAACCTCCATCTCCCGGGTTCAAGCGATTCTCCTGCCTCAGCCTCCCACATAGCTGGGACTACAGGCACCTGCCACCATGCCCTGCTAATTTTTTTGGTATTTTTTTTTTTAGTAGAGACGGGGTTGCGCTATGTTGGCCAGGCTGGTTTCGATCTCTTGACCTCGTGATCCACCCATCTCAGCCTCCCAAAGTGCTGGGATTACAGGCGTGAGCCACCACGCCCGGCCTGCAATGGACTACGTTTTTCTAACGTCATCCTCATAGACTCAAAGGCATCTCTCGGCCTTCAGTCCACCTGGGTGGCTCATCGCAATTTTACAACCCTGCTGTCCAAAAGCGTATGTACAATAGTTTCATTTAGCTTTTCCACAATGTGTGTAGATGTTACAAAAGCACATAGTGTGCATGATAAATAAATGCAATTTAAATGTACTAATGTTAAAAGTAAAAATGTTTAAAATAATAGGGCAAATTTATCATTCCAATTTTAGTATACGTGCTGCCAAAGTGAGCATGGCAAAGTTATCAACTGCAACAAACAAACCAAATGCAAATTGTAATAGTGTCCTTGAGACAGGAAAAACGGACCCTTGGCCCTTCACTGGGAATGCAGTTCTGTGGACACCTTAATCTCAGACGTCTAGAGTGCCCTAGAACAGTGAGTCTAAATTTGTGTTGTTTAAGCCACTCTGTGGTATTTTGTTAGATTTGCCCTAGCAAACGAATATGCATGGAACAAAAACAAAGCTCATCCCAGCACTTTGGGAGGCTGAGTCGGGTGGGTCACGTGAGGTCAGGAGTTCGAGACCAGCCTGGGCAACATGGTGAAACCCCATCTCTACTAAAACAACAACAACAACAAAAAAGTTAGCTGGGCGTGGTGGCACGTGCCTGTAATTCCAGCCACTCGGGAGGCTGAGGCAGGAGAATCGCTTGAACCTGGCAGGTGGAGTTTGCCGTGAGCCAAGATTGTGCCATTGCACTCCTGCTTGGGGGACAGAGGAAGACCCTGTCTCAAAAATAAAATAAAATAAAATATAAAATAAAATAAAATAAAATAAAATAAAATAAAATAAAATAAATAAAAAATAAAGCTTATGAGACACTGAAATGGTCTGAATTCAGCAAACTTCCTTGGAATAACATCTTGTACTAGTCCATTTTCATACTGCTATAAAGAAACACCTGAGACTGGGTAATTTATGAAGGAGAGAGGTTTAATGTACCCATAGTTCCACATGGCTGGGGAGACCTCACAATCATGGCAGAAAGTGAAGGAGGAGCAAAGCCACACCTTACATGGCGGCCTTACATGGCGGCAGGCAAGAGAGAGTGTACAGGGAAACTCCCCTTTATCAATCCATCAGATCGGCCAGGGCCAGTGGCTCAAGCCTGTAATCTCAGCACTTTGGGAGGCCAAGGCCGGCGGATCACCTGAGGTCAGGAGTTCGAGACAAGCCTGGCCAACATGGTGAAACCCTGTCTCTACTAAAAATACAAAAGTTAGCCAGGCATGGTGGCGGGCACCTGTAATCCCAACTACTTGGGAGGCTGAGGCAGGAGAATCGCTTAAACCTGGGAGGTGGAGGGGCCAGGCGTGGTGCCTCATACCTGTAATCCCAGCACTTTGGGAGGCCAAGGCAGGCGGATTCACGAGGTTAGGAGTTTGAGGCCAGTTTGACCAACATGGTGAAGCCCTGTCTCTACTAAAAATACAAAAATTAGCCAGGCGTGGTGGTGCACACCTGTAATCCCAGCTACCCTGGAGGCAGGAGGAGGCAGGAGAATTGCTTGAACCTGGAAGGCGGAGGTTGCAGTGAGCTGAGATCATACCACTGCACTGCAGTCTGGGCGACAAAGTAAGAGTGTGTTTCAAAAAAAAAAAAAAAGTGAAAAAGCAATGGACTGTGAATGACATTCATATCTTAAATTCCCACACACATCGTGAAACTGGCTGCTTTCAGCTTTACGGAAAACCCAGGGAGGATGATTTCAATGTTTAGCAAATACTGGATCAATATTGAAAACAGGGTCTACTATTTTTCCACTCACACGAGACAGTGGGTGAGACCCAGCCATTCTCCATAAGTTGGAGGCATCTGCTCTTGTTTAAACTCATATCCAAACATGGAAATATGAACTTACTTGGAAAAATGATCTTTTGGAATAAAGATTATTATTATTTTTTTTTGAGACAGAGTTTCTCTCTTGTTGCCCAGGCTGGAGTGCAGTGGCATGATCTCAGCTCACTGCAACCTCCCCTTCCGGGTTCAAGCAATTCTCCTGCCTCAGCGTCCTGAGAAGCTGGCACTACAGGCACCCGCCACCATGCCCAGCTAATTTTGTATTTTTAGTAGAGACAGGGTTTTGCCATGTTGGCCAGGCTGGTCTTGAACTCCCGACCTCAGATGATCTGCTTGCCTCGGCCTCCTTAAGTGCTAGGATTACAGGCGTGAGCCACCGCGCCCAGCTTGGAATAAAGATTATTTACACGTGTAAACATTCAGAATTTTTATGTAATCTTTACTAATTAGATAAGTGAACTTACTTGGGTTCCACCACACAGTAGCAGAAAAGTAGCAGAAAAGGCTCGCTTAATTGGCTAGCCCATGGACTTGGGTCCCATTCAGATTTCCAGGTGGGAGTGGGTGTGTGGTGCCCGCCAGGTCTAGGGTGGGTGGAATAACACAGGACTGCTTTGAAAGGTCTTCAGAGAACCTATTGTTAGTTCATTCATACTTCCCAGCTCATAATGATAAATTAATTTGCTTCAATGAGGCTGAAACGACGATATCCATGTTATCTGACGGGGTCACCATATTGAAAGTCATGCACGGGCCAGGCGAAGTGGCTCACACCTGTCATCCCAGCACTTTGGGAGGCTGAAGCGGGCAGATCACCTGAGGTCAGGAGTTCGAGACCAGCCTGGTCACCATGGAGAAACCCCATCTCTACTAAAAATACAAAAAGACCAGGTGTGGTGGCTCACGCTTGTCATCCCAGCACTTTGGGAGGCTGAAGCAGGTGGATCACCTGAGGTCATGAGTTCGAGACCGGCCTGGCCAACATGCAGAAACCCCGTCTCTACTAAAAATACAAAAAGGCCAGGTGTGGTGGCTCACGCCTGTCATCTCAGCACTTTGGGAGGCTAAAGCAGGCAGATCACCTGAGGTCAGGAGTTCAAGAACAGCCTGGCCACCATGGAGAAGCCCCATTTCTACTAAAAATACAAAAAGACCAGGTGTGGTGGCTCACGCCTGTTCTCTCAGCACTTTGGGAAGTCAAGGCAGGCAGACCACTTGAGGTCAGAAGTTCGAGACCATCCTGGCCAACATGGTGAAAGCCTGTCTCTGCTAAAAACACAAAAATTAGCCGGGCATGGTGGTGGGTACCTGTAGTCCCAGCTACTCGGGAGGCTGAGGCAGGAGAATGACTGGAACCTGGGAGGCGGAGGTGGCGGTGAGCCAAGATCATGCCACTGCACTGCAGCCCGGGCAACAGAGCGAGACTCCGTCTCCAAAAAAATTAAAAAGTCATACATGGTACTTAGATGGAGCTGGAGTAAGGTCACGTAACAGAACCACCTCGTTGTGACCCTTTGCAGTTCAAGTTGGTGAAAGAGCCGGCTCTGGGACTCAAAGAGGTGGCTGGGAGACAGGGAGTGAGGGATTAGGTGAGCTGATGTCTGGTCATACCCAAGGACTAGGAGGAAGACAGCGGAACGGTGGCAGCTCTCGTCTCCAATATAATTTTCTTTCTTTGTTGCTTTCTTTTTGAGACAGAGTCTTGCTCTGTCACCCAGGCTGGAGTGCAGTGGCACAATCTCGGCTCACTGCAAGCTCTGCCTCCCAGGTTCAAGGAATTCTCCTGCCTCAGCCTCCCGAGTAGCTGGGACTACAGGTGTCCACCAACACTCCCAGCTCATTTTCATATTTTAGTAGAGACAGGGTTTCACCATGTGGGCCAGGCTGGTCTTCAACTCCTGAGCTCAAGTGATCCACCCACCTCGGCCTCCCTAAGTGCTGGGATGACAGGCAGGAGCCACTGGGCACGGCCTCCAATATAATTTTCTTACACTTGACCTTTGCCATGGCCTCCATGGATAGAATCCAGGCTGCAACCTGGCCAGGAGGCTCTAAATGCATTCCCAAAGCCAGGGAAGTCAGAGAAACTCAAGGCAGCACGGGCCATCTTGGCCACGTCGTCCGTTGGAGAAGGTTTTGGGCTGTAACATGTTGGAATAAATTTTAGAAAGTGCCTTCAAGAATGTTGCTGAGCTGTGTTGAACGCTGATGGAAAGTTATGCATTGTCACGTATGGGGTTCTCCAAAAGTGACAGCTCTCCGAGGAGTTGGCTTCTGTGTCCTCCAATTTAATTTTAAATTGCCCTCAGGGAGGTGCTGGGAACCTCTTTCCCTGGAGGCTGTGAGCGATGGGAGAGAAGCCATCTGTCTGCCTCGCTTGGGTGCTAGTAACACAATGCAGCTCATCTTCCAGCTTCCAAAGCAGGATGATATACGCGTCATTCCTCACGATGTACACACCGAAGGCAAGAAAAAGAAATCCACCAAAAGACCCACTTTTACATCTTCTTATGCTTTCAAACTCAGGCATGAAGTGTCTTCACATACAGAATGGTTGTGATTCTTTTTTAATTACAACCATTTCTGTGAGAGCCTGCACAGCACAGATAAAGCCACCAGAGAGAAACATTCATGAAAATGAAACGTCGTGTTTGGAAATAATAATGGAAGAAATCAGTATGTACGTTGCCGGCTCAGGGGAGATTTACCTTGTTAATTCGACATGAAGGCCGTGAGGCAGAAATGCATTCTTAATTTAACTGTACTGTGTTTACAGATTTATGAAGATTATAGTAGTAAATGCAAATAGGCATTGGCATGAATATGGAAAGGAGGATGTAAAATGTGATTAAAAATTACAAATGGAGAAGAAAAGGAAACAATAATCATGAAGGAAGGAAAGAAAGAAAGAAAAAAGAAAGAAGGAAGGAAGGAAAAGGAAGGAAGGAAGGGAAGGGAAGGAAGGGAAAGGAAAGGAAGGGAAGAAAGAAAGAAAGAAAGAAAGAAAGAAAGAAAGAAAGAAAGAAAGAAAGAAAGAAAGAAAGAGGAAGGAAGGAAGGGAAGGGAAAGGAAAGGAAAGGAAGGGAAGAAAGAAAGAAAGAGAAAGAGAGAAAGAAAGAAAAAGAAAGAAAAGAAGGAAGGAAAGAAAGAAAGAAAAGAAGGAAGGAAAGAAAGAGAGAAAGAGAGATGGACGGAAGGGAAGGAAAGGGAAGGGAAGGAAAGGGAGAGAGAGAGAAAAAAAAAGAAAGAAAGGAAGGAAGGAAGGGGAAAGGAAAGGAAAAGAGAAAAAGAAAAGAAAGAAATAGGAGAAATACAAGGATATAGGATTGGGAAGATCCAACATAGGAGAGAGGCAGACGAAATTCCAAAGATCATCATAAAAAACATCTCAGGAAAAGAGATCTGAACAGCAATCCATTCACAATGCAGTAGGAGAGTACAAGACATTAATCAATCCATGAAACTGATTGATTTTCAGAAACTCTACAAACAGGCACTATTTCTTCTGCGAATCCACTGCCAGGTTGATTAATCCGCTGGTTTCTCACTCTCCCTTCATGTTGGTAACACCCAAATCCACGATACCTCCCAATTGAGGAAGCATGGATTGCATCAGCCTGGTTTTTAGCAGAAAATGGCTAGCTTGCTCATTTAGGATTTTTAAAAGCCTGCACAGATAAACGGAAAGGGTTAAGAAAATTCCCAGTGGCTGCGGATCCTCCCAGAGCTTACTAACATAGCAGAGAAGTTTCATCACCCCTGAGCTTCCAGGTCAAAAGACAATGAGGTCAAGATACTGTTAAGGCTCATTCAACAGCAAGGGTCTCTGCAGCAGACAGGCTGCCCAACAAAAGACGTAGTTGATGAAGGACACAGATAAATCCATATATGTCCAAACATGGAATGACCCAGAGAATAAACATCCAACACTCTTTTTCCTTCCCCGCCTTCCATTACTTGTTAGAGTCTTTTTTTTTTTTTTTTTTTTTTGAGATGGAGTCTCCCTCCATCACCCAGGCTGGAGTGCAGTGGTACAATCTCAGCTCACTGACACCTCCGCCTCCCGGATTCAAGAAATTCTCCTGCCTCAGCCTCCCCAGTAGCTGGGACTATAGGTGCCCGCCACCACCCCCAGCTAATTTTTTTGTACTTTTTAGTAGAGACGGAGTTTCACCATATTGGCCAGGCTGGTCTCGAACTCCTGACCTCAAATGATCCGCCCGCCTCGGCCTCCCAAAGTGCTGGGATGGCAGGTGTGAGCCACCACACCCGGCCTGGTCAGTGTCTCTCCTTCCCTGAATTCACATAGAAAAGCTCCAGAAACCTTGGGTGATGAAATCCAAAGTCATCAGCCTCTTGGAGATGTAAATTTGATCAAACGGAGGGAAATGTAGTGTGTCTGGTATACGTATCAAGTGCTGAGGGTCGGTCATCTGAAGTCCGCTCTTACCAGGCTAAAAGTTAGGTGTGGGAGAGTCTATTAGTTCTTCACAATTCTTCTTCCTCTCTAACTGGTCTCTGGCTCATGCCCCACGGGAGAAGCACGCCTCCTGCCCCCACTAACTTTGGACTGCCATCTGATTTGTTTTTGCTTATAGAATGTTGGTCAGTGCTGTTGCGGTAAACTGAGGAACGGAGAGACCAATACGGAGTACAGGAGGATTTGTTTATTTTTAGGTACACACTGGCTCAGCAGAATCGCGTTTAAAAAGCTCAGCATTGAACAAAGACGGAGCGGGGGTTTCATAAGCGGCCTTATAACATAACTCGTGACCTTGCATAGCTGGTGGCCTTGTAGCTGCATTGAAAGAAAAACAAGAACTGGCTAAATACAGACATTTGTAAAACATAGTCATGCTTAAGAAGCCTGGGAAAAGAGTAACAGTAAAATAATCTGTCTTTCTCTTTTTTCCTTCAACCTTGCTCTGGAAGGCGGGTGGGGTGTCTGGAGCCCATTCCTTTGGCCTTGGCTACTGTGACAGTGTTACTTTATAACTATCCTTGAAGTGAGCTGGTAGGCAGAGGAAAACTTGTTCTTTTCTCTCTTTTTTTTTTTTTAACCCTTGCCTTGCCACATTCTGGGCCTTAGCTTTGACTTTTCTTGGAGTGAATAAATGCAGGACTTATTATTTTTTAAATTTCTGCCTCAGTGGAGGCACAACAGGGGTTGACACAGTGTGTTATGTCCGTTCTCATGCTACTAATAAAGACATATCTGAGACTGCGTAATTTATTAAAAAAAAAAAAAAAAGAGGTTTAATGGACTCACAGTTCCACGTGGCTGGGGAGACCTTACAATCATGGCTGAAGGTGAAGGAGGAGCAGAGGCATGTCTTACATGGTGGCAAGCAAGAAAGCTTACGCAGGGGAACTCTCCATGATGTCTCCCAATTAAGGAGACATTGATTGCTTCAGTCTGGTTTTTGGCAGAAGACCACCAGATCTCATGAAACTTATTCACTATCACGAGAACAGCATGGGGAAAACCAGCCTGCGTGATTCAATTACCTCCCACCAGGTTCCTTCCATGGCATGTGGGCATTATGGGAGCTACAGTTCAAGATGAGATTTGGGTGGGGACACAGCCAAACCCTGTCACATGGTTGGACCTTTCCTCTGCACGTCTGTATTCCAACATTAGAAAAATGTGCCCAGGATAACCACTGGTTCCTCCCATGGCATGTGGGCATTATGGGAGCTACAGTTCAAGATGAGATTTGGGTGGGGACACAGCCAAACCCTATCACATGGTTGGACTTTTCCTCTGCACGTCTGTATTTGAACATTAGAGAAATGTGCCCAGGATAACCACTGGTTCCACCCATGGCATGTGGGCATTATGGGAGCTACAGTTCAAGATGAGATTTGGGTGGGGACACAGCCAAACCCTGTCACATGGTTGGACCTTTCCTCTGCACGTCTGTATTCCAACATTAGAAAAATGTGCCCAGGATAACCACTGGTTCCTCCCATGGCATGTGGGCATTATGGGAGCTACAGTTCAAGATGAGATTTGGGTGGGGACACAGCCAAACCCTATCACATGGTTGGACCTTTCCTCTGCACGTCTGTATTTGAACATTAGAGAAATGTGCCCAGGATAATCACTGGTTCCACCCATGGCATGTGGGCATTATGGGAGCTACAGTTCAAGATGAGATTTGGGTGGGAACACAGCCAAACCCTATCACATGGTTGGACCTTTCCTCTGCGCGTCTGTATTCCAACATTAGAAAAATGTGCCCAGGATAATCACTGGTTCCTCCCATGGCATGTGGGCATTATGGGAGCTACAGTTCAAGATGAGATTTGGGTGGGGACACAGCCAAACCCTATGGTCCCAAAATGATGACAGTATGTGGCATAGACATGAATCCAACCTTCAGCTTAGCCTGGGGTAACCCAGCCTATATCTGCACCAACCTAGCTGACTGGTAGACTCACATATTTAAAAAAGAAATAAATACTTATTATGGTAGAGAATTGAGATTTAGGACTATTTGTTATCCAGCATAACTTCAGGTGTAGCTGACTGATACAGAAAGCAGGCATCTTCTAGGGTGGGAAAAGGCTCTTAGCACAAAACTTCTCTAAGAAAAGATTTCACAACCAATTGTTTGCATGTTTTCATAGTTTTTAAATGTGGAGCAAAGGTAAAGAGTTAGGGAATGGTTTCATATTTTTTTCTTCTTGTTTGTAAATGTATGTATGATGATGTGTATCTCACCTTGAAATTTCAAACATGTTTTATCTTGGTGTCTATTGGAGACTGCATTTTAACATTCTCTTTCAAAAGGTATTTGTATGGGGGAGAAATGGGTGTGTGTATATGTGCAAGATATTTGAAGACCCCAAATCATCCCTTACCCCTCCTCTCTTCAGAGGTAATTACTACCCTGAAGGGGAAATGTATTCTTCACATTCATCCTTGGGTTTTTTTTTAATCTTTATGTTTGTACTTATCTGTAACACTATAATCTAAAATATATTTCACAAGGAATATACAGAGATGGCAAATTTTTCTTTTATATATTGACTTGATGTCACAGGTAATAATTCAAAATCCTTTTGCCTCTCTTGAAACTGTCGCTGTGATTTCAACTTTCCAAGTGCCTCTTTGATAAATTGTGTTTTTATCTGCTGGAAGAAAAAATAGACTAAATTTACCATAACATCCATTTTCATGTGGCAAATTTGAGGTATTTATTTCTCCTTAACTGATGACAATTTTCTGACTCCAGATGAAGTTCTTTCCCCAAACGATGTTTTCGTGTTTTTTTTTCCCTACAAAAGCCAAATTTCCACTAATTTAAAACCAAACAAGTGTCTTGATTTAGATGCTGACATAATCAAAGCTATGCACACAGCTCTCTGTTTTCCACTTTCTGGATATTTGGATGAAGAAATGAAATGTGTCAGAAATAAATCCTTTGGGGTAAATTTGTAATTAAGCTCTGAAGAAATGCTTTTGTACATCAGATTTAAATCTCCACGCCTCTAAAAAATCCAATTCGATGCACATTTGGAAACATTCGTCTTGTAAATGCAGAGGTCTCTGTTTCTGAGATCCGTCTACAAGAGCGCAGAAACTTAACAGCTGTAGCAATATTGCTGCCAAGCAGGTGGGGGCAATAAAGATAACAAAGCTAGTGGGGTCTCTGTAGGATGGACATTGCCTGTGAAATGCATCCTCCTCTTCTGAACAGATCTCTGATTTGTTCATCTTTTCTCTGTCTCTCCTTTTTTTTTTTTTTTTTTTTTGTTGTTGTTGTTGTTTTTTGAGACGGGGTTTTGTTCTTGTTGCCCAAGCCGGAGTGCAGTGGCGCAATCTCAGCTCACTGTAGCCTCCGCCTCCCAGGTTCAAGCGATTCTCCTGCCTCAGCCTCCCAAGTAGCTGGGATTACAGGCACGCGCCACCACACCTGGCTAAACATTTTTTGTATTTTTAGTAGAGACAGCGTTTCACCATGTTGGCCAGGCTGGTCTTGAACTCCTGACCTCAGGAGCTCCACCTGTCTCAGCCTCCCAAAGTGCTGGGATTACTGGCATGAGCCGCTGCGCCCAGCCTCCTCCTTTCTGAGTCTGTGCCGCAAGGAGGCTGCTTCTACCTGCCCTCCAGGGCTGATCCTTCAGCAATGATTGATTTAGAAAAGCACATGCAACTGAACCCTGTCCAATAATATGGGAGAGACCTTCTCCTGTGGGTACAGCTTTGGGGGAAAGTTTTCTCCTTCCTAAGAAGACTAAAAGATGGATTCTGTTTTTTCTCTCCACGTCGTGGCATGTGGATAAGTTGACTGTGAGATTCTGGCTTACCCAATCTGATTTCCTAACACAGGGATTCCTGGAGACGATCAACTTTGGACATTCTCTGGTTTGGATATAGTTTGTCTGGTCCCACCAAGTCTCATGTGGAAATCTGATCTCCAGTGTTGAAGGCGGGGCCTGGCGGGAGGTGTTTGGGTCATGGGGTTAAATCCCTCATGAATGGCATGGTGCCATTCTCAAGACAGTGAGTGGGTTCTTACTTAATTTATTTTATTTTTATTTTTTATTACACTTTAAGTTCTGGGGATACATGTGCAGAACGTGCAGGTTTGTTACATAGGTATGCATGTGCCATGGTGGTTTGCTGCACCCATCAACCCATCATCTACATTAGGTATTTCTCCTAATGCTCCCCCTCCCCTAGCCCCTCACCCCCTGACAGGCCCCCAGTGTGTGATGTTCCCCTCCCTGTGTCCATGTGTTCTCATTGTTCAACTCCCACTTATGAGTGAGAATGTGCGGTGTTTGGTTTTCTGTTCCTGTGTTAGTTTACTGAGAATGATGGTTTGCAGCTTCATCTATGTCTCTGCAAAGGACATGGCCTCATCCTTTTTTATGGCTGCATAGCATTCCATTGTGTCTATGTGCCACGTTTTCTTTATCCGGTCTATCATTGATGGGCATTTCTTACTTTTAGTTCCCAGAAGAGCTGGCTTTTGAAAACAGCCCGGCACCTCAGCTGTGTCTCTTGTGCTGTGTGTTCTCTGTACACGCCAGCTCTCTGTCCCCTTCCACCAGGAGTGGAAGTTTCCTGAGGTTTTCATCAGAAGCAGATGTGGGCGCCATGCTTCCTGTGTACCCTGTAGAACTGGGAGCCAAATAAACCTTTATTTCATTGATTGAATGATTGATTGATTGATTCATTCATTCATTCATTCAGATGAAGTTTCGCTCTCGTTGCCCAGGCTGGAGTGCAGTGGCATGATGTCAGCTCACTGCAACCTCCTTCTCCCAGGTTCAAGCAATTCTCCTGCCTCAGCCTCCCAAGTAGCTGGGATTACAGGCACCTGCCACCATGCCCAGCTTTTTTTTTTTTTTTTTTTTCTGTATTTTTAGTAGAGATGGGGTTTCACCATGTTGGCCAGGCTGGTCTAGAACTCCCGACCTCAAGCGATCCACCCGTGTCAGCCTCCCAAAGTGCTGGGATGACAGGTGTGAGCCACTGCTCCCAGCCTTCTTTTCTTTGTAAATTACCCAGCTTGAGGTACTTATCTATAGCCCTGCAAACAGAGAGAGACACGGAGGATAGTCTAGGGGGTTGTTTCAGACATACCCGGGACTCATTCAAGGTTCGCTGTTGAGAAAGCAATGAGATTTGCAGAGGTAGAGCCAGCTGGGCAGAGATACTTGTGTGAGAGTCATTGGTGGATCGTGCTGTGAGTGAAGACAAAATTGCGTCCAGCAGCACACGGCAAGGAAGGTCTAGGACTCACCTTAAGGAAATTAAGATGGTGGCTCACGCCTGTCATCCCAGCACTTTGGTAGGCCGAGGCGGGTGGATCACGAGATCAAGAGATCGAGACTACCCTGGCCAACATGGAGAAACCCCACCTCTAGTAAAAATACAAAAATTAGCCGGACATGGTGGTACATGCCTGTAGTCCCAGCTATGTGGGAGGCTGAGGCAGGAGAATCACCTGAACCCAGGAGGCAGAGGTTGCCGTGAGCCTAGATCATGCCATTGCACTCCAGCCTGGTGACAGAGAAAGTCTCCGTCTCAAAAAAAAAAAAAAAAAAAGATGGTTAAAAGTCAGACGGAGGAGACTGAATCCTCAAGAAAGAAGAATAAGGAGTGAGCAAAGAAAGAGTGATGGGGCCAGACACAGCGGCTCACACCTGTAATCCCAGCACTTTGGGAACCTGAGGTGGGTGGATCACCTGAGGTCAGGAGTTCAAGACCAGCCTGACCAATATGATGAAACCCTGTCTCTACTAAAAATTCAAAAATTAGCCAGGCATGGCGGCGGGCACCTGTAAGCTCAGCTACTTGGGAAGCTGAGGCAAGAGAATCACTTCAACCCAGGAGGCGGAGGTTGTTGCCGTGAGCCAAGATCACACCACTGCACTCCAGTCTGGGCGACAGAGAGAGACTCCGTCTCAAAAAAAGAAAAGAAAAGAAAAGAAAAAGAGTGATGGAAAACTAGGAGAGACAGTGCACCAAGAAGAAAGTCATGAGTCCTCCCAGATTCCGCTGACCAGTCCATCCCAAGATGGCAGGAAAGGCAGCAAAATATTCACAGAGGCAGGGCCAGGGTAGGTTTAGTGGACAGAGAAAAGGGCATGCATTTCCTATGCTGTACCAAAGTGCTGGGATTACAGGTGTGAGCCACCGCACCCAGCCTGCAAAAAATTTTTAGAATTTAGCTGGACATGGTGGTGCATGCCTGTAGTCTCAGCTACTCAGGAGGCTGAGGCAGGAGGATTGTTTGAGCTTATGAAGTAGAGGCCCTGATCATGCTACTCCACTCCAGCCTTGGCTACATACAGAGCAAGACACCATCTCTTAAAAAATTAATAGTGCTGGTCATCCCAGCACTTTGCGAGGCCAAGGCTGGCGGATCACTTGAGGTCAGGAGTTCAAGACCAGCCTGGGCGACATGGTGAAACCCCGTCTCTACTAAAAATGCCAAAAATTAGCCGGGTGTGGTGGCGCATGCTTATAATCCCAGTTACTTGGGAGGCTGAGGCAGAAGAACTGCTTGAACCCAGGAGGCGGAGGTTGCAGTGAGCCAAGATCGCGCTACTTCACTCCAGCCTGGGAGACAAAGTGAGGCTATGTCTTTAAAAAAACAAAAAAAAATTTGGAGAAGATACAAAATGCAAAGGCCTGGGAACTGTGTTTGAGATGGAAAGTCAAAACTTGGAAAATGATTATACTGGGTTGAGCAAGGTCCTCCTATGAAATCCACATTCACGCAGAATCTTGAATGTAGAGCTTATCAAAAAGTAGGGTCATTGCAAAGGTACTTGGTTAAGAGGAGGTCATGCTGGATTCAGGAGGGCCCTAATGCAAGGGCTGGTGCCTTATAAGAGGGGGAAAAGTTGGATACAAAGAGGAGAAGGCCACTTGCAGAGGGAGGCAGAGACTGGAGTGATGTAACCGCAGACTAACTCAGGGATACTTGGAGCCCCCAGGAGCTGGGAGAGGCAGGAAGGATTTAGTTTAGCTTGATTTAGTTATTCCACAATGTGTATTTGTATCAAAACATCATGTTGCATGCCATAAATAGATGCAATTCTTATTTGTATTATTAACACAAAGTGCATTATTTTAAAATTTTAAGAGATTACACTGCATTATTTAAAACAATGAGAACAGGCCAGGCATGGTGGCTCAAGCCTGTCATCCCAGCACTTTGGGAGGCCGAGGCGGGCGGATCACCTGAGGTCAGGAGTTCGAGACTAGCCTGGCCAATATGGCGAAACCTCATCTCCACTAAAAATACAAACATTAGCCAGGCGTGGTGGTGCACTCTTGCAGTCTCAGCTACTCGAGAGGCTGAGGCAGGAGAATCGCTTGAACCCAGGGGGAGGAGGTTGCAGTGAGTCGAGATTGCACCACTGCACTCCAGCCTGGGCAATAAGAATGAAATTCTGTCTCTAAATAAATAAATATCAATAAAAATAAAACAATGAAAACATCAAAAAATTGAAATTGATTTTTAAATTGGCAGCTGTAAAATATGCAGCCCAAGCTTTGTTACTGGCCTCATTCTTTTATTTCCTACTTTTTTTTTTTTTTTACTTCAAAATTGGATCCAATAATAACAAGCATTCTCTGAGGCTTTTCTGTGAGAAAGAACAATGAAGGTAACGTCTAAACACAAATTAAAACCTCATACCAAGGAACTGCTTTTTAAATATGTAATTTTATTTGTTTATTTATTTTTTTTTGAAACAGAGTCTCGCTCTGTCACCCAGGCTGGAGTGCAGTGACGCAATCTTGGCTCACTGCAACCTCTGCCTCCCAGGTTCAAGCGATTCTCCTGCCTCAGCCTCCCGAGTAGCTGGGATTACAGGCGCCCGCCACAATGCCCGGCTAATTTTTGTATTTTTACTAGAAATGGGGTTTTGCCAGGTTGGCCAGGCTGGTCTTGAACTCCTGACCTCAGGTGATCCACTCGCCTCGGCCTTCCAAAGTGCTGGAATTACAGGCGTGAGCCACTGTGCTTGGTCTTAATAAGTGGTTTTAAATTTAAGTCATAAGAAAGGAAAGGACTTTGGGAGGCTGAGGCGGGCGGATCACGAGATCAGGAGATCAAGACCATGCTGGCTAACACGGTGAAACCCCGTCTCTAGTAAAAATACAAAAAAAAAGTTAGCCGGGCGTGGTGGCGGGCGCCTGTAGTCTCAGCTACTCAGGAGGCTGAGGCAGGAGAATCGCTTGAACCTGGGAGGTGGAGGTTGCAGTGAGCAGAGATCGCGCCACTGCACTCCAGCCTGGGCGACAGAGCGAGAGTCCATCTCAAAAAACTGTAAAATAAATAAAATAAAATAAGGAAACTTCTGAGATGATTCCAAAAATTCAACTGGGCCTCAAACTCCCATTGGCAAGGAGCTGGTCTTGCATGTACTGTTGGTTTGATAACTAGGAAGAATAAACTGTTTTGAAAATGTGCAGCAATGTTGCAGTGTTACGTCGACACCTTTTCATAGCACTCACCTTAACAGGAAAATTTAAGCACGTTTAGGGACGGGAGCTTTTTTGCCTTTCGAGAGGGTGGTGGCGTTTTGGAGGTGAGGTGCTTTTTTTTGTTTTGTTTTCTGGATGAGACAGACTCCAAAAGAACAATCACGCTGGAAAACCAACATAGTGATTTTCCTTCGCAAAGAGAACAAATTGCTGGTACCATTCCCACATCAGCAATCAGCCTGGCTTTCCTGCATGGCTGCCAAAAAACAAGGCAGCTTTTGACAAAGTTGCCGTGCATGGATTCTGGAAGCAAGATGAGCTACTCGTCCCAGGCATGATATAGGGGAAAAGTCGGTAAGGGCCATACTAAGGATTTATTTAAAAAAAAAATCTGGCCAGGTGCGCTGGCCCACGCCTGTAATCCCAACACTTTGGGAGACCGAGGTGGGTGGATCACCTGAAGTCAGGAGTTCAAGACCAGCCTGGCCAACATGGTGAGACCCCATCTCTACTAAAAATACAAAAATTAGCCGGGTGTGGTGGCTTACACTTGTAATCCCAGCTACTCGGGAGGCTGAGGCAGGAGAATCGCTTGAACCTGGGAGGCAGAGGTTGCAGTGAGCCGAGACTCTGTCTCAAAAAAAAAAAAAAAAAAATTCACACATTTTCTTGGGGCCATATTATTAAACATTCTTGAAGCGACTGGTTCTAGGCTGTTTTGTTCTGTGCTGACAATTGCAATCGCTAGAATGTGAAGACGCACCGGGAGAGCCCTTTCCAAACCCTTTGGAGCAAATGAGGAAGAGAAAGGAAGGGAGATGCAGAGAAATTAGCCAGGGGGTAATGGCCTGCCCAGGCTACATGGGAGCATGTGGTTTAGAGAGGCAGCTATTATACAAGGAGCTGAACCCCAGAATTAGACAGACTGTACCCCAGTTCTGGTTGGAAGATGGCACAGAGCGGGGAGGGGGATTAGACGTGGTGTCACGGCGAAGGTCATCTTCCTGAACCGCTCCAAGAGACAGGCCCCCCAACGCCTGCTCCATGACCAGGCAGTGGGTTTTGGAAGTGGGGGAGAAGAGCTGTGATACTTAATTCATGGGGTTGTCCCCATCTCCTCCTTCCTACACGGCCTAGAGAACTGTCACTGACTGTCACAAGGACATAGGGAAAAATTTTTAAAAAGCACAGATATTTATATTTCTTTTCTTTTTTTCTTTTCTTTCTTTCTTTCTTTTTTTTTTTTTTTTTTTTTTTTTTTTTGAGGCCGAGTCTAGCTCTGTCACCCAGGCTGGAGTGCAGTGGCACAATCTCGGCTCACTGCAAGCTCCGCCTCCCGGGTTCAAGCCATTCTCCTGCCTCAGCCTCCCGAGTAGCTGGGACTACCGGCGTCCACCACCACTCCCGGCTAATTTTTTTGTATTTTTAGTAGAGACGGGGTTTCACTGTGTTAGCCAGGATGGTCTCGATCTCCTGACCTCGTGACCCACCCGCCTTGGCCTCCCAAAGTGCTGGGATGACAGGTGTGAGCCACCGCACCTGGCCAGATATTTATATTTCAACGTTCTGTCTCACAAACATCAGAGCAGCAGGGACCACCACATAAATAGCTTTGATATGGAGTGTACACACTCAGCCTAAGAAATAAGATTCCTTTCTTTTTGTTGTTGTTATTGTTTTTGTTTTTTGTTTGTTTTTTGAGATGGAGTCTCGATCTGTCGCACCCACGCTGGAGTGCAGTGGTGCGATCTCGGCTCACTGCAACCTCCGCCTCCTGGGTTCAAGCGATTCTCCCACCTCACTCTCCCAAGTAGCTGGGATTGCAAATGTGCACCACCACACCCAGCTGATTTATTTTTATTTTTAGTACAGACAGAGTTTCACCATATTGGCCAGGCTGGTTGCGAACTCCCGACCTCTGGTGATCTGCCCTCCTCTGCCTCCCAAAGTGCTGGGATTATAGGTGTGAGCCACTGCACCCGGTGAAGATTCCTTTCTTGTTTGTTTGTTTTTCTTTTTTGAGACAGGGTCTTTCTCTGTTGTCCAGGCTGGAGCGTAGTGGCACACTCACAGCTCACTGCAATCTCAAACTCCCTGCCTCAAGCAATCCTCCTGCCTCAGCCTCCCTAGTAGCTGGGACTACAGGCATGCGCCACTGTGCCTGGCTAATTTTATCATTTTTGGTAGAGCTGAGGTCTCACTACGTTGCCCAGGCTGGTCTCCAACTCCTAGGTTCAAGTGATCCTTGCACCTCAGCCTCCCAAAGTTACTGCAATTACAAGCATGAGCCACTGTGCCCAGAAAATCAGATTCTTGGTTGAAGATGGAGGTGAATGCAAGCTAGTATTGTTTGCCCAAAGATGTGGTTCTCCACCTTCGTCAATTTTTTATTATTATTATACTTTAAGTTCTAGGGTACATGTGCACAACGTGCAGGTTTGTTACATAGGTATACATGTGCCATGTTGGTGTGCTGCACCCATTAACTCGTCGTTTACATTAGGTATATCTCCTAATGCTCTCCCTCCCTAGCCCCTCACCCCACCACAGGCCCCGGTGTGTGATGTTCCCCACCCTGTGTCCAAGTGTTCTCATTGTTCAATTCCCACCTATGAGTGAGAACATGTGGTGTTTGGTTTTCTGTCCTTGCGATAGTTTGCTGAGAATGATGGTTTCCAGCTTCATCCATGTCCCTGCAAAGACATGAACTCAACCTTTTTTATGGCTGCATAGTATTCCATGGTGTCTATGTGCCACATTGTCTTAATCCAGTCTATCATTGATGGACATTTGGGTTGGTTCCAAGTCTTTGCTATTGTGGACAGTGCCGCCATAAACTTACGTGTGCATGTGTCTTTATAGCAGCATGAGTTATAGTCCTTTGGGTACATACCCAGTAATGGGATGGCTGGGTCAAATGGTATTTCTAGTTCTAGATCCCTGAGGAATCGCCACACTGTCTTCCACAATGGTTGAACTAGTTTACAGTCCCACCAACAGTGTAAAAGCGTTCCTATTTCTCCACATCCTCTCCAGGACCTGTTGTTTCCTGACTTTTTAATGATTGCCATTCTAACTGGTGTGAGACGGTATCTCATTGTGGTTTTGATTTGAATTTCTCTGATGGCCAGTGATGATGAGCATTTTTTCATGTATCTGTTGGCTGCATAAATGTCTTCTTTTGTGAAGTGTCTGTTCTGATCCTTTGCCCACTTTTTGATGGCGTTGTTTGTTTTTTCTTGTAAATTTGTTAATGTTCTTTGTAGATTCTGGATATTAGCCCTTTGTCAGATGGGTAGATTGCAAAAATTTTATAATCCTTTGGGTATATAACCAGTCATGGGATGGCTGGTTCAAATGGTATTTCTAGTTCTAGATCCCTGAGGAATTGCCACACTGTCTTCCACAATAGTTGAACTAGTTTACACTCCCACCAACAGTGTAAAAGCGTTCCTATTTCTCCACATCTTCTCCCGCCTTTGTCAATTCTAAGCAGCCAGCAGCCCTGTTACAGCTCCCATCAATCACACTCTGTTCTGTGGCTTTTGTGCAAGCCAGAAGCATATCCTTAGAGTCTTATAAATACAGAAAAATAACTGGGTTTATGTTTTTCTTTAAGGAGTGCTTGATGATTGTAGAAATAGTGGACTCAAGTACATTCATATCAATAACAGTCCAGGAAATGTTGGCAAAAAAAAAATCCATTGATCTTTAATTTGCTGTTTGAATCATTATACCTTCTTCTGTGTGTTTTTTGGATTTTCTGAGAAGAGGAAATCCAGTAGGTAGAGTGCAATACAATACATTGATCCAAAAATCTACTGCCATAGCAAATCCCATCTATCCATAATGTGTTCACTGTCTGCATTTTTCTCAAGTTTTTTCTTTTCATGACAACTTGATTAATACAAAGCAGACTCTGTAGATGACCTAGATTATTTATTATTATTATCATTTTTGTTTTGAGAGGGAGTCTCTCTGTATAGCCCAGGCTGGAGTGCAGTGGTGTGGTCTTGGCCCACTGCAACCTCTGCCTCCCGGGTTCAAGTGATTCTCCTGCCTCAGCCTCCTGAGCAGCTGGGATTACAGGTGCCTACCACCACGTCTGGCCAATTTTTGTATTTTTTTTTCTTTTTTAGTAGAGACAGGGTTTCATCATGTTGGCCAGGCTGGTTCGAACTCCTGACCTCAGGTGATCCACCTGCCTTTGCCTTCCAAAGTGCTGGGATTACAGGCGCGAGCCACCACACCCGGAGACCTAGATTTTTGTCTTTTTGTTTTTCTTTGTTTTCTTTAGTAGAAAATTCTTTCTGTACTCATTGTACGGGATTCCTTTCAACATCATTTCTGGCTGTTTTTACGTTTGTAGTTAATGTGCAGACCACAACATACCTTTTTTTCTTTGAAATGGAGTCTCATTCTGTTGGCTAGGCTGTAGTGCAGTGGTGTGATCTTGGCTCACTGCAACCTCTGCCTCCCGGGTTCAAGCAATTCTCCTGCCACCATCTCCCAAGTAGCTGGGAGTACAGATATGTGCCACCATGTCTGGCTAATTTTTTTTGTCTTTTTAGTAGAGGTTTTGCCATATTGGTCAGGCTAGTCTGGAACTCCTGACCTCAAGTAATCCACGCATCTCGGCCTCCCAAGTGCTGGGATTACAGGCATGAGGCAACGCGCCCAGCCCCCGCAACATTATTTTTAAGGGCAACTTCCTCAACACCAGAAGACGGTACCAGGGACAGTTTCTTTTCTTTTTTTTTGTTTTTTTTGTTTTCGTGTTTTGAGATGGACTCTCGCTCCGTCACCCAGGCTGGATAGCAGGGGCACGATCTTGGCTCACTGTTACCTCTGCCTCCGGGTTCAAGCAATTCTCTTGCCTCAGCCTCCTGAGTAGCTGGGATTACAGGTGTGCACCACCGTGCCTGGCTAATTTTTGTATTTTTAATAGAGACGGGGTTTCACCATGTTGGCCAGGCTGGTCTCGAACTCCTGATCAGGCTGGTCTCGAACTCCTGACCTCGTGATCCGCCCGCCTCGGCCTCCCAAAGCGCTGGGATGACAGGCGTGAGCCACCGCGCCCGGCCCACCAGAGACAGTTTCAAGGCAGAAATGGGATATGTGTGGGCGATGCTTTTGCATTGACGGATGGTTTCTTTGCTGGAGGCTGGCAGATGGGTGGCAATGTGGAAAGCTATAGATTGGAATGAAACAGCATGGTGCTCTTCCCTGCCTTAAATTCCTGCATAGCTTTGTTCACTCACTTGAAGAAAACCCCCCAGAGGACGTGACCAATAGTATAAACAACTACCGTGTTAACTCTGGCACCTGGTTGAAATTCAACCCTTGTACGATACACATTGAAAAGCACAAAATGGGCTGGGCATGGTGGCATATGCCTGTAATCCCAGCCCTTTCGGAGGCTGAGGCTGGTGAATCACGAGGTCAGGAGTTCGAGATCAGCCTGACCAACATGGTGAAACCCCGTCTCTACTAAAAATACCACAATTAGTCGGGTGTGGTGGCAGATGCCTGTAGTCCCAGCTACTCCGGAGGCTGAGGCAGGAGAATGGCTTGAACCCGGGAGGCAGAGGTTGCAGTGAGCCGAGATCGCGCCACTGCACTCCAGCCTGGGTGACAGAGCCAGACTCCGTCTCAAAAACATAAATAAATACAAAAAAGAAAAGTACAAAAAATTAGCTGGGTGTGATGGCGGGTGCCTGTAGTCCCAGCTACTCGGGAGGCTGAGGCAGGAGAATGGCGTGAATCCGGGAGGCGGAGCTTGCAGTGAGCCGAGATCACACCTCTGCACTCCAGCCTGGGTGACAGAGTGAGACTCCGTCTCAAAAAAAAAAAAAAAAAGAAAAGGAAAAAATCTCTCCCAACCAAAAACCTCCTTAGCCTTTCTGTCTGTGACTCGACTTGCACACTAGAGGGTTTTCTAAAGGCAGTGTGTGCATTTATTTATTTTATTATTATTATTATTATTATTATTATTGAGAGAGAGTCTTACTATCTTGCCCAGGCTGGAGTGCAGTGGCATGATTTCAGCTCGCCGCAACCTCCGCCTCCCAGGTTCAAAAGATTCTCCTGCCTCAGACTCCACGCCCGGCTAATTTGTGTATTTTTAGTAGAGACGGGGTTTCACCATGTTGGCCAGGCTGGTCTCAAACTCCTGACCTCAAGGGATCCGCCCACCTCGGCCTCCCAAAGTGGTGGGATGACAGGCGTGGGCCACTGCGGGAATTCTGTCAGAAGAGCAAGAAACAGGTTACACAACTAACCACCATCTCGGATTCCTTGATAGGATTCAACAGCTGTCTCCCACCATGGGCAGGATGGCCAGCATGGCGGCTCTCAAACCTTCCTTGTGCTTGTGAAACTGGAATTCTGACTCAGTGGATCTAGGGAAGCCTGAGATGCTGAATGTCTAGTAAGGTACCCAGTGATGCGAATACCACTGGTCCATAGACCACACTTTGAGTAGGGAGCGTATGGGGGAACTGAGGGTTGCTATGGGGTGGCCAGAGGTATGGAGAGCTAGCTCAGCTGGAGGAACTGTGACAGAGGCTTCAGAGAGCCAGGGGAACATCAGTGTGTCTCAGGATGGCGCTGGGAGCTTTGTCTATCTACCGGGCTTCATCACTCCAAACCTGCAGCTATAGACCTAGAGGCCTCTACCTGGGGCCCAAATGATTGGTCCAAGCTGGTAGGTGATCTCTGTGGGAAAGGAGAAAGAACCATATTATTGTCTGAGTATGGTGGCTCACGCCTGTAATCCCAGCACTTTGGGAGGCCGAGGTGGGAGGATCAGGAGGTCAAGAGATCGAGACCATCTTGGCCAACATGGTGAAACCCCGTCTCTACTAAAAATACAAAAATTGGCCAGTCATGGTGGCATGTGCCTGTCATCCCAGCTACTCGGGAGGCTGAGGCAGGAGAATCACTTGAACTCAGGAAGCGGAGGTTGCAGTGAGCCGAGATGATGCCACTGCACTCCAGCCCGGAAACAGAGCGAGACTCCATCCAAAAAAAAAGAAAAAAAAAAAAGAACCATATTATTGTCTGAGCAATGGGTCAGAAGCTGTCCAAAGCAGAGATGAGCAAATGGCAGTGAGAAACATGGTTAGGTCAAAAGGAGGCAGGAAAAAAAAATTAGATGCTTGAGAAAGAGTACCTGCCCATGATAGTCTCATGGGTGGCCTGGTCCATGCTCCCTGTGGCCTCGGCCATTTTGGTTGGCCCGGGACTTGGTGAGTCAGGAGACTCAGCAGGAGGAAAAAATGCAAGGTCAGTGGAATGTTCCCGGATTCGACCAGAAGGCTGTAAAGTGACATGGTGGAGGGATTCCTCAAGCCAAGCTCAAGCCAAGAGGTGGAATGGAGCTTGGACGGATGGTTGACTATCCGCCAGTCCTTCACAGCCTGAGAAGCAATAAATAAATAAATAAATAAATTTTATAAATAAAATAAAATAAAACAATTTTTTAAAAAAAGGCAGCCTTTTCAATTTTAGGGGAGCTGGAACGAGAACCGCTTCTCAGATGCCAGGGAAATTCACCAGGCCACCCCATGAGACCTTTCAGAGCTTCCTAAGTGGCAAAGCAGGAGCCTCACCCTCTTAGACAAACACTGCCATTTGAAGTTTCCCTTGATTAAAAAATCGCCCAAATCCAGCCCCCAAACATCAGCCTAATGGCTAATGTCAGCATAACCAGAAACATTCCATCCCTAAGATAAACCCACTTCCAAGCAGAAACATGCCAACCCTGAGATAGCCTCCCCTCTGACCAGAGACATTCCGGTCCCAAAATAAACTTTCCCCTCACGTACAAACATTCCGAACACGTGATAACCTCCCCCCTTCCTAAACCCTTAAATACCCTTGATCTATTAAGAAAGAACGCTCCTGACCGAAATCAGCCAGAAGCCCGTCTCATATTTATCCTCCAAAATAAACCTGTCTTTGACTGTTGAGTTGCTTTCCGTGTTTCTTTTCTCTTTCTTTAAACTCTTTTTTTGTTGTTGTTGTTGAGACAGAGTCTCACTCAGTGGCCAGGCTGGAGTGCAATGGTGCGATCTCGGCTCACCACAAGCTCCGCCTGCTGGGTTCACGCCATTCTCTTGCCTCAGCCTCTTAGTAGCTGGGACTACAGGCGCCCGCCACCACACCCGGCTTTTTTGTATTTTTAGTAGAGACACGGTTTCACCGTGTTAGCCAGGATGGTCTCGATCTCCTGATCTCATGATCCACCCGCCTCGGCCTCCCAAAGTGCTGGATGACAGGTGTGAGTCACCGTGCCTGGCCCTCTTTAACTCTTACACCGAGGATGTTCTGTCATTATCACACTACATACAAGCCACGCTCTTAAAGTCCCTGGAAGTAGAATTGAAACGCGGCAAAGATTGTTTTGAAGTTCATGGAGACTATTAAGATGAGGCACTGTGCTGAAACGTAGTGGAATCTGAACTGGAATTAGAACTAGAATAGATAAGTTGCCCTAAAGTCCTCGATGTAATCCATTGTCCAGTCGTTGAAGCCAGTCAGTCACTCCATCACATCCCTATAGCTCTGGATTCCTTTCAGCCTGACAGAGAGTTGATCTGTTGTTTGGAAGTATCAACCAACACAGGTTGGTGCTTCATCACGGAGGTCAACGTGAGTGTTGTCTGGATGGTGGGATTTTCCAATGAGTCTTGAAAGGTGAACACTCCTTAAAAACGTCTTAGGGAGGCCAGGCGCAGTGGTTCACGCCTGTTATCCCAGCACTTTAGGAGGCTGAGGTGGGCGGATTACCTGAGGTTGGGAGTTCAAGACCAGCCTGGCCAACATGGTGAAACCCCGTCTCTACTAAAAATACAAAAATTAGCCAGGTGTGGTGACACACGCCTATAATCCCAGCTACTCAAGAGGCTGAGGCAGGAGAATTGCTTGAACCTGGGAGGCAGACACTGCAGTGAGCCAAGTTGCACTACTGTACTTCCAGCCTGGGTGACAGAGCAAGACTCTGAGAGAGAGTGAGAGAGAGAAAGAAGGAAAGAAGGAAGGAAGGAAGGAAAGAAAGAAAGAAAGAGAGAGAGAGAGAGAAAGAAAGAGATAGAAAGAGAGAGAGAGAAAGGAAAGAAGGGAAACGAAGAAAGGAAGGAAGGAGGGAAGGGAAGGAAGGAAGGAAGGAAGGAAGGAGAGAAAAAAAGAAAGAAAAAAGAGAAAGAAAGAAAGAGAGAGAAAGAGAAAGAAAGAAAGAGAAAGAGAGAGAGAAAGAAAGAGAGAGAGAGAAAGGAAAGGGAAACGAAGGAAGGGAGGGAGGGAGGGAAGGGAAGGAAGGAATGAACGAAGGAAGGAGAGAAAAAAAGAAAAAGAAAGAAAGAAAGGAAGGAAGGAAGGAAGGAAGGAAGGAAGGAAGAAAGCAAGAAAGGAAGGGAGGAAGGGAAAGAAAAGGAAAGAAAGCAAAGAAAGCAAGAAAGAGAGAAAGAAAGAGGTCTTAGGGTACAAGTGCCCGGGTCATTTTTGGTTCACTCAACTTCATTTTCAAGAATACCTGAGAATCCATCCGCTTGTCTGAACACATAACGATGTGACTGTGAAGATCAGCTGGAAAATGCAAGAGGAAAACCAGGAACTTCCCACTGGCAACAAGCTGAGTAATCAACTTGTCAGGCACAGTCCTTGCCCCAAGCAAATGCTTTGAAAATGATGAGTTTTGATCTTGTATTTGGTTGGGTCCTGTGCTTTCTGCTAGATACAGGAAGTTATGTGCTCCTTGTATTAACAGCAGACCAAGCCTCTTCCTATGTTATCATTGAAACTATTGATCAAGGACATGAATCTCTCTCTTTGATTATTAGCCCAGGAATGGAGTTAATTTATTTTATGAACATCACATAAAGTAACCAATGCTTTGGGCAGCTTCATTAGGACTTTTGAAAAGGCTTAGAAGGCAAATTGAATGATTCAAGAGGCAACATAAGAGAAAGGATAATGGTTTGATGATATCTACACCATAATATCTCACTGAAGACGGTCAGCTTTGCCAACTGTACATCTCCTGGACCTTAATGTGAGAGGATCAGCATTTTTTTTTTTTTTGAGGCAGAGTCTCGCTCTGTTGCCCAGGCTGGAGTGCAGTGGTGTGATCTCAGCTCACTGCAACCTCCGTCTCCTGGGTTCAAGCGATTCTCCTGCCTCAGCCTCCCAGGTAGCTGGGATTACAGGTGCGTGCCACCACACCTGGCTAATTTTTTTTATTTTAGCAGAGACGGGGTTTCACTGTGTTAACCAGGATGGTCCTGATCTCCTGACCTCATGATCTGCCCGCCTTGGCCTCCCAAACTGCTGGGATAACAGGTGTGAGCCACCGTGCTCAGCTGTAGATCAGTATTTTTATGTGAAGAGGAGAAGAGACACACATACCCATGCACTGAGGAAAGACAACTTGAAGATGGAGAAAAGACCACCTCCAAGTCAAGGAATGACTGGAGCTACCAGAAGCTAGCAGAGAAGCATGGTACCAGTTCTACTGCAGACTGCAGAAGAAACCAACCCCCCGCTAACACCTTGATTTTAAAACTTCTGAGGCCGGGCGCGGTGGCTCATGCCTGTAACCCCAGCACTTTGGGAGGCCGAGGCAGGTGGATCATGAGGTCAGGAGAGCGAGGGCATCGTGGCCAACATGGTGAAACCCTGTCTCTACTAAAAATACAAAAAATTAGCCGGGCTTGGTGGCGGGCACCTGTAATCCCAGCACTTTGGGAGGCTGAGGCAGGTGGATCACAAGGTCAGGAGATCGAGACCATCCTGGCTAACACGGTGAAACCCCATCGCTACTAAAAATACAAAAAATTAGCCGGGTGTGGTGGCGGGCGCCTGTAGTCCCAGCTACTCACGAGGCTGAGGCAGGAGAATAGCTTGAACCTGGGAGGCGAAAGTTGCAGTGAGCCGAGATCATGCCATTGCACTCCAGCCTGGGCCACAGAGCAAGACTCCATCTCAAAACAAACACACACACACACAAACAAACAAACAAAAAAATTCTGCCCTCTGGAAGCATCCATTTCTACCATTTAAGTTACTCCAGTTCTAAGTACTTGAGAGCCGCTACTGTGTGTCAGCCTTTTCAGTTTGCTGTAACAAAATATCACATTGCTTATAAACAACAGCCATTTATTGCTCATAGTTCTGCAGGCTGAATATCCAAGATCAAGGCTTGGCAGCTTCAGAGCCTGGGGAGAACCCACTTCCTGGTTCATAGACGGCACCTTCCCACAGTGTCCTCACATGGTGGAAGACACGAGGGAGCTCTGTGGGGTCTCGCTTCCTGGTTCATAGACGGCACCTTCCCACAGTGTCCTCACATGGTGGAAGAGACGAGGGAGCTCTGTGGGGTCTCGCTTCCTGGTTCATAGACGGCACCTTCCCACTGTGTCCTCACATAGTGGAAGAGACGAGGGAGCTCTGTGGGGTCTCGCTTCCTGGTTCATAGACGGCACCTTCCCACAGTGTCCTCACATGGTGGAAGAGACGAGGGAGCTCTGTGGGGTCTCGCTTCCTGGTTCATAGACGGCACCTTCCCACTGTGTCCTCACATAGTGGAAGAGACGAGGGAGCTCTGTGGGGTCTCGCTTCCTGGTTCATAGACGGCACCTTCCCACAGTGTCCTCACATGGTGGAAGAGACGAGGGAGCTCTGTGGGGTCTCGCTTCCTGGTTCATAGACGGCACCTTCCCACTGTGTCCTCACATGGTGGAAGAGACGAGGGAGCTCTGTGGGGTCTCGCTTCCTGGTTCATAGACGGCACCTTCCCACTGTGTCCTCACATGGTGGAAGAGACGAGGGAGCTCTGTGGGGTCTCTTTTATAAGGACGCTGATAATCGTGTGCGGATCTGTTGCCTCCAAATCTCACGCTGAAATCTGATTCCCAATGTTGGAGGTAGGGCTGGCTGGAGGCATGTGGGTCACGGAAGTGGATTCCTCATACACGGCTTGGAGCCCTCCCCATGGTAATGGATGATTTCTTTTTTTTTTTTCCGGAGTTTTTTTTTATTTTTTTATGTTTTATTATACTTTAAGTTTTAGGGTACATGTGCACAACGTGCAGGTTACTTACATACGTGTACATGTGCCATGTTGGTGTGCTGCACCCATTAACTCATCATTTACATTAGGTATATCTCCTAATGCTATCCCTCCCCCTTCCCGCCACCCCACAACAGGCCCTGGTGTGTGATGTTCCCCTTCCTGTGTCCATGTGTTCTCACTGTTCAATTCCCACCTATGAGTGAGAACATGCGGTGTTTGGTTTTTTGTCCTTGCGATAGTTTGCTGAGAATGATGGTTTCCAGCTTCATCCATGTCCCTACAAAGGACATGAACTCATACTTTTTTATGGCTGCATAGGATTCCATCGTGTATATGTGCCACATTTTCTTAATCCAGTCTATCATTGTTGGACATTTGGCTACTTGAGATCGGGTTGCTAAAACGAGCCTGACACCTCCCTGCCTTCTCCCTCCTGTCTTCTCTCTCACCCTGTGACGTGCCAGCTGCTCTTCACCTTCCACCACGGTTGAAATCTTCCTGAGAGCCTCACTAGCAGTCAACGTTGGTGTTCCTTGTGCAGTCTGCAAAACTGTGAGCCAAATAAATCTCTTCACTTTATAAGTTACCCAGCCTCAGGCATTCCTTTTTTGTTTTTGTTTTTGTTTTTGAATGGAGTCTTCTCTGTCACCCAGGTTGGAGTGCAGTGGCATAGTCTCAGCTCACTGCAACCTCTGCCTCCCGGGTTCAAGCCATTCTCCTGCCTCAGCCTCCCGAGTAGCTGGGATTACAGGTGCCCACCACCACATCTGGCTAATTGTTTGTATGTTTAGTAGAGACATGGTTTCACCGTGTTGGCCAGGCTGGTCTCGAACTCCTGACCTCAGGTGATCCACTCACCTTGGCCTCCCAAAGTGCTGGGATTACAGGCGTGAGCCACCACATCCAGCTGGCATTCCTTTATAGCAACATAAAATGGACTCACCCAGGCACTCATCCCATTCATGAGGTTCCTCCCTCACGACCTCGTCACCTCCCAAGGGCCCCACCTCCTCATATCATCACCTGGAGAATTAGGATTTCAAAAGAGGAATGTGAAGGGGCAGAAACATTCAGACCACAGCACCTATGCTCCTGGAAAACATCCTAACCAAGAAATACCCTGACCTTTGTTTGTCTTCCAGAAAATACCTTATTCCAAAGAGTTCCCTTCCTCATAGGCCTTACATATAAGGCTTGTGGATGTCTCTTTTTCTACTTAAGACAAAGCCAGATCCAAAACCTCCGAATTTCCCACCTTTGTCTAGTAAATGATGAGCTGAATTTCTTGTCCCATTGCCAGTCTAGACAAAATTCCCTAGTCTGAGATCAAGGTGTCTCAAGGAAATGCTCCCTCCAGAAGCTCTAGGGGAGGATCCTTCCTGCCTGTCCCAGCTCCTGGGGGCTCCAGGCGTCCCTGGGCTTGTGGCTACATCACTCCAGTCTCTGCCTCTGTCTCCATGTGACCTCCTCCTCTGTGTCTGTGTCTCCTCCTCTGTCTCTTTTTTTTTTTTTTTTTTTTTGAGAGGAGTTTTGCTCTTGTTGCCCAGGCTGGAGTGCAATGGCACGACCTCGGCTCACTGCTACCTCCACCTCCCGGGTTCAAGTGATTCTCCTGCCTCAGCCTCCGGAATAGCTGGGATTACAGGCATGCACCACCACGCCCGGCCAATTTTGTATTTTTAGTAGAGATGGGGTTTCTCCATGTTGGCCAGGCTGGTCTCGAACTCCTGACCTCAGGCAATCTGCCTGCCTCGGCCTCCCAAAGTGCTGGAATTACAGGTGTCAGCCACGATGCCCGGTCCCTTCCTCTGTGCCTTACAGGGACATTGGCCTTTCAATTTAGGGTTTACGCTAATCCAGGATGACCTCTTCTCAAGATCCCTAACTAACTATATCTACAACCTGAATTGATCAAACTTTTCTTCCGATTCTCACTCCCTCCCCCCAGATCCATACACTTTGGCCCAGCCTCAGCCCGAGCCGACACACACAGCTTCTCCTTACTAGAGAACTGGCCAAACACTGGGAAAGACTTGTGTATTGTGTGCAAAGTGTATGAAGTTAGGAAGACCCACATGGCTCTCCCTGGACCCTGAGAGCTTACAAGGATCAATATGTGAATATTAATTAAGTCTGGAGCTCAAAGCCTTTGCAGCCAGGAGTGCAGTTGGTGTCTTCAATTTAGCCAAAAGCCGTGCTCTCAGGAGGCACTAAGAAACTGTGGGCCAGGCGCAGTGGCTTATGCCTGTAATCCCAGCACTTTGAGAGGCCGAGGCGGGCGGATCACAAGGTCAGGAGATCGAGACCATCCTGGCTAACACGGTGAAACCCCATCTCTACTAAAAATACAAAAAAAAATTAGCTGGGCGTGGTGGCGGGCACCTATAGTCCCAGCTACTCCGGAGGCTGAGACAGGAGAATGGCGTGAAACAGGGAGACGGAGCTTGCAGTGAGCCTAGATCGCTCCACTGCACTCCAGCCTGGGCGACAGAGCAAGACTCCGTCAAAAAAAAAAAAAAAAATAGCTGGACATGGTGGCAGTCACCTGTAATCCCAGCTACTCGGGAGGCTGAAGCAGAGAGTCGTTTGAACCTCGGAGGCGGAGGCGGCAGCGAGCTGAGATCGCACCACTGCACTCGAGGCTGGGCAACAGAGTGAGACTCCGTCTCAAAAAAATAAATAATAAATAAAACCTGTGGAGTGGATGATTGAACAGACAGGTGTCTGTAGCCAATAAAAGTGTGCATTTGCATGAGACCCATGGATGATACAATACTTTTTCTCCTAAGTCTGTAACACTGTATGCTACTTTCCTAGGGCTGCTATAAAAACCTACCACAAACTGCAGGGCTGAACACAAGTTTATTCGCTCCCATTTCTGCAGACCAGAAGTCTGAGATCAAGGTGTCTGCAGGTCTGTGCTCCCTCCGGAGGCTCTAGGGGAGGGTCCTTCCTGCCTCTCCCAGCTCCTGGGGGCTCCAGTTGTCCCTGGGCTTGTGGCCGCATCACTCCAGTCTCTGCCTCCGTCTCCACGTGGCCTTCTCCTCTGTGTCTGTGTCTCCTCTTCTGTCTCTTACAAGGACACCTGCCATTGCATTTAGAGCCCACCCTAATTCAGGATGACCTCATCTCAAGACCCCTAACTAATTACACATATGAAGTGCTTTACTACCAATTAAGGTGCTATCCATGCATTCTGGGGATCAGAACCTGGACATATCTTTTGCCAGGACAACTGTTCAATCCAGTACAGTTGTATCCAGTTCCCTCTGGAGGCTCTAGGGGAGGGTCCTTCCTGCCTCTCCCAGCTCCTGGGGGCTCCAGGTGTCCCTGGGCTTGTGGCCACATCACTCCAGTCTCTGCCTCTGTCTCCACGTGGCCTTCTCCTCTGTGTCTGTGTCTCCCCTTCTGTCTCTTAGAAGGACACCTGTCATCAGACTTAGGGCCCACCTTACTCCAGAATGATCTCATCTCAAGATCCTTCTGTTAATCACATTTGCAAAGACCCTATTTCCAAATAAGGTCTCATTGCCAGGTTCTGGGCTTTAGGATGTGGACAGATCTTTCTAGGGGCCAATGTTCAATCCAGTATAATTATATCCAGTTCTCCCCAGAGGCTGTAGAGGAACATCCTTCCTGCCTTTCCCAGCTCCTGGGGGCTCCACAGATGTCCCTGGGACTGTGGCCACATCACTCCAGTCTCTGCCTCCATGTCCACGTGGCTTTCTCTGTGTCTCTGCCTGCTTTTCTGTCTCTGTTTTTGTTTGTTTGTTTTTTCTTTGAGAGAGTCTCTCTCTGTCACCAGGCTGGAGTGCAGTGGCACAATCTCGGCTCACTGCAACCTCCACCTCCCAAATTCAAGCAATCCTCCTGCCTCAGCCTCTCGAGTAGCTGGGACTACAGGTGCACGACACCACACCCATCTAATTTTTGTATTTTTAGTACAGACAGGGTTTCACCACATTGGCCAGGCTGGTCTGGAACTCCTGACCTCGTGATCCATCTGCCTCAGCCTCCCAAAGTGCTGGGATGACAGGCTTGAGCCACTGCGCCCGGCCTGCTTTCTGCCTCTTCAAAGGATGCTGCTCACTGGATTTAGGGTCCACCTGAATCTAAGATGATTTCATCTGGAGCACTTTAACTAAAGACATCTGCAAAGTTCTTACTTCCAAATAAGGTCCTATTTGCAGGTACCAGGGCCTGGCACACGGACCTATCTTTTTGGAAGCTGCCCTTCCACTCGCTTCAAAGGGTGTCAAGCTCATTGCTGACTTGAGTCCTCATTCACCTCTGCCTCGAGTCTCCCTTGCTTCCATTTGATCGCCTACGAGTTTCTGTCATTGGACTGCAGATGCGAAAGCATCCCCTTGGCATTTTGTCAGCGCCTCATCCTTACAGCAGAGACGCTGGCAGCTTGTCCCGTCTGCTGCCCGAAATCCTCTTTGCAGAACAGACAGGGTGCAAGATGGAGCATCCTGCTTCTTAAGCGATGGGTGTGTCTCTGTTTCTGAAGAGACTGCACAAATGCTGTCTTTCTACCATTCCTGTTTGCTTCCTTTGGCCCTCTGCCTCCAGCCTCTTTCCGTGGGGCTGGATTTTCTCCCTGGATGAGCGTGCGAGAGAGTTGTGAGGTTGTGTCTGCCCTAAAAACCCTGCCCTTGTACTTGGCTCCTGACCTTGATGTCAGTAGAGATGCGCTTGCTGAGTCCTCCTGGGCAGCCTGCTCATCTGCCACAAGATGACAGCTCATCTCCAGGCAGCGTCATCCCCACGGCAACCCCTCAGCTTCCTCCCGTTCTCTGCTCCATCCTTCCCCTTGGACTCAGTGTGGAATCATTTCTACATCAGCGAAGCCCAGCTGCGGCCCCCAGGAGCTGTTCCTCCCTGCCTGGTCTGTCAAGTGTCTTTTTGACCCTTGCTGATTTGGGGGAAGAGAATTGGCTCACGGTCGGATTCTGCTGCTAACAGTAAACCTCCAGAGAGGATGCTCAGATCCAGCGGCGGGCGCTTTCCTGCTGCATTTTTTCAAAAATGGTTACTGATTGGAACTGGCGTCCACCAGCCGGGCACAGTGAGGCCAAACATCCACACCGAGGTCTTGCAGTGGGAGTAAACAGGATGTTTACTTGCAGGGCGCCAAGCAAGGAGAATCGAGCAGTTCATGCTTAAGCCCTGACTCCTCTAATGGCTTTTAATTTCAAATTTTTTTTTTTTTTGAGACAGAGTCTCACTGTTGCCACGCTGGGGTGTAGTGGCGTGATCTCGGCTCGCTGCAACCTCCGCCTCCCGGGTTCAAGCGATTCTCCTACCTCAGCCTCGCCAGTAGCTGGGGTTACAGGCACCCACCACCACACCCAGCTAATTTTTGTATTTTTAGTTGAGACGCGGTTTCACCACGTTGCCCAGGCTGGTCTCGAACTCCAGACCTTGTGATCCACCCACCTTGGCCTCCCAAAGTGCTGGGATGACAGGCTTGAGCCACTGCGCCCGGCTGCTTTTAATTTTTAAAAAAGTATTCATTTCTTTTTAGAGATACGGTCTCTGTCTGTCGCCCAGGCTGGAGTGCAGTTGTGCCATCACGGCTCACTGTACCCTTGATCTCCCAGGCTGCAACCATTCTCCCATCGCTGCCTCTCAGGTAGCTGGGACCGCAGGTGTGCACCACCATGCCTGGCTAATTCTTTTATTTTCCTGTAGAGATGGGGTCTCACTAGATTGCTCAGGCTGGCCTCAAACTCCCAACCTTAGGCGATCCTCCTGCCTCAGTCCTGCAAAGTGCTAGGCTTACAGGTGTTTGCCATCACACCTGACCCCAAGCAGGGATACATTTCAGGAAAGCAGAAGGTACAGGTAAAATCATAAAACAGTACAAGAAGGTTATACGTTGGTTTTGGCCTAAAAGGGTGGGATATTTGGAAGCGGGGCCCCACAGGTCATAGGTGGATTCAGAGACTTTCTGATTTGAGGCTGGGCATGGTGGCTCACACCTGTAATCCCAGCATGTTGGGAGGCCGAGGCAAGCAGATCACTTGAGGTCAGGAGTTCGAGAGCAGCCTGGCCACATGGGAGGGAGGGAGGGAGGGAGGGGAGAGAGAGAGAGAGAAAGGAAGGAAGGAAGGAAGGAAGGAAGGAAGGAAGGAAGGAAGGAAGGAGGGAGGGAGGGAGGGAGGGGAAAGAGAGAGAGAAAGAACAAATGAACGAAAGAAAGAAAGAAAAGGAAGGAAGGAAGGGAAAATCTGCTGTGGGAGAAAGAAAGAAAGAAGAAAGAAAGAGAAAGAAAGGAAAAGGAAAGAAAGAAAATCTGCTGAAGGAGAAAGAGAGAAAAAGAAAGAAAGAGAAAGAAAGATCTGCTGAAGGAGAAAGAGAGAAAAAGAAAGAAAGAAAAAGGAAGAAAGATCTGCTGAAGGAGAAAGAAAGAGAGAAAAAGAAAGAAAGAAGAAAAAGAGAGAAAGAAAGAAGAAAGAAAGAGAAAGAAGAAAGTAAAAGAAAGAAAGAGAAAGAAAGAAAGAAAGAAAGAAAGAAAGAAAGAAAGAAAGAAAGAAAGAAAGAAAGAAAAGAAAGAAAGAAAAAGAAAGGAAAGAAAGAAAAAAAGGAAAGAAGGAGAAATCTGCTGAGGGATAGGACATAATTACCTGGTGTTTTCCCAGACAGGGCACTTCCTCATTTCACACAATTGGGGGTCTATTCCCTTTTATCCTTCCCATTTTACGTGTCGTCCTTTTCTCTTGGCTCCCATGAGATACGCCTCTGGGTTTCAGAACGACTCTGCCCGTGGATGATATGGGAACTCTTATCAGCATTGTCAAACCTCCTGGGTGGAGGGGAGTAGGAGAAACTCCCATTTCTCTTTGTCCTCTGGGGAACTCACTCCATTTCTCTCCCAGAGACGATGTATCTGATATTAGATTGGCTATTTGGACATTGCTAGTGCAAAATGTTGACACTTCATTTTTCTCCTAAGTCATTACATCCACAGAGCAGGTCGTGTGTTTGTGTCTTGGAACGCAAGTTCTTAGGGACTTTCAGATTTGTTTTGTCACTGAATTCTCTCCGGACGCCGGGCACTAGGCAGGCCCCATGAACATCCTGTTTTAGCAAACGTCTGAAACTCCAGGACTCATAAGTGGATGAATAAAGCAGTTGAGTTTTACATCTGTGTCTTCTGACGTCTTTCATGAAGTGTTTCCTCAGCCTGACTGTACATCAAATTCACTCCAGATGTACCATAAAAATGCATATTCCTGGTTTCTATCTCCGACGACTATAACTCGGTTAGACACCAGGTCTATCGTATGTTTTTTTTTGTTGTTTGTTCGTTTACTTTAAGTTCTGGGGTACCTGTGCAGAATGTGCAGGTGTGTTACACAGGTATACATGTGCCATGGTGGTTTGCTGCACCCATCAACCCATCATCTAGGCTTTAAGCCCCGCAGGCATTACGTATTTGTCCTAATGCTCTCCCTGTCCTTGTCCCCCAGCCCCCAACAGGCCCAGGTGTGTGATGTTCCCCTCTCTGTGTCCATGTGTTCTCATTGTTCAACTCCCACTTATGAGTGAGAACATGCGATGTTTGGTTTTCTGTTCCTGTGTGAGTTTGCTGAGAATGATGGTTTCCAGCTTCATCCGTGTGCCTGCAAAGAACATGAACTCCTCCTTTTTTATGGCTGTATAGTATTCCTTGGTGTCTATGTGCCACATTTTCTTCATCCAGTCTATCATTGATGGACATTTGGGTTGGTTCCAAGTCTTTGCTACCATGCATAGTGCCTCAAGAAACATACATGTGCCTGTGTCTTTATAGTAGAATGATTTATTAATTGTTAATTGTTTAGAAACAAGCTCTTGCTCTGTCACCCAGGCTGGAGTGCAGTGGTGTGATCATGGCTCACTGCAGCATCAAACTCCTGGGCTCAAGTGATCCCCCCTCCACCTCAGCCTCCTGAGTAGCTGAAACTACAGGCGTGCACCACCACACCTAGCTGATTTTTTTTTTATTTTTGTAGTGACAGGGGTCTCACTATGTTACCCAGGCTGTTCTTGAATTCCTGGGCTCAGGCAGTCCTCCCTTCAAAGCGTCCTGAGTAGCTGGGACTACAGGTGTGCACCCAAACACCAGCTTATTTATTTATTTATTTATTTATTTGCAGAGAGGGGCTTGTTCTTATATAGCCCAGGCTGGTCTTGAACTCCTAGGCTCTAACTATCCTCCCACCTTGGCCTCCCAACGTGCAGAGATTACAGGCATGAGCCACCATGCCTGGCCTCATAGTACTTTTAACCAATTCCTTTGATGATTCTAACACTTACCCCACAGACAGGCATTCAGGGGAAACAGCACTCAAATTCTGCACAGAGATTCTTTGTAATTTTGCTATTATCTAACCTGGTTAATGAGCGTCTCTCAGCCAGGCTCATATTCTTCAACTAAAGAAAATATTTAAGAATCATATTTTGTTTTGTGTTTGCACCATGTCAAATAACTAGGCTGTTTGCTGCGTATTTATGGATTGCTTACGTGTGTGTCCTGTACCAGCCACATCAGCAGGCTGTTTGCTGCGTATTTATGGATTGTTTACGTGTGTGTCCTATACCAGCCACATCAGCAGTGATTTTAGGTGTCAGACCTCCAGGTCTCTCTCTCTCTCTCTTTTCTTTTCTGAGACAAAGTTTTGCTCTGTTGCCCAGGCTGGAGTGCAGTGGCGCCATCTCGGCTCACTGCAACCTCCGCCTGCTGGGTTCAAGAGATTCTCCTGCCTCAGCCTCCCCAGTAGCTGGGATTACAGGCACTCACCACCACAGCCGGTTAATTTTTGTATTTTTAGTAGAGACGGGGTTTCACCATGCTGGCCAGGCTGGTCTCAAACCCCTGACCTCGTATTCCACCCGCCTTGGCCTCTCAAAGGGCTGGGATAACAGGCGTGAGCCGCTGCGCCCGGCCGAGACCTCCAGGTCTCTTGTTACATAGGAGGCAGTGAAGGACAAATATCCACATCACAATCCCCATTTGGACTGAACTGTCACCTGCATTTCTGCAGAACCACATTTAATCCTATTCCACCTCCTGGAGATAAACAAGGTGTACCTCTTCCCTCTTCCCAGTAAAGTCAGCTAGGGAACGAGAGTCAGCGGCTGAGACTCCAGCGGCCATCTCCTTTGAGTCCTGGCTAAACTGTGCATGGTGTGGTACAGGAGAGAACGTGAAGGCCAAACTGGCCTCTCAACCCACCCTGCCCCATATTTTTTGCAAGCGCAAGCTCTGCCATCCCCTCGTGGACTCAGCGGTGAAGTCCTTGATGAAACGATGTGGTTTCTCCATTGCTTGGACAATCCTCCAAGCAAGGAGGAAAATTCAAGCTACCTGTCATCTGGATATTAAAATATACTTTGTAATTACTGGAATCATATGTGTTCAGACATCTCAATTGCAGGGAAAAATTAAGACGTCGTGGCCCAGTTACTTTGCAATTTCTGTGGAAATTTTCTGGAAATACATTCATTTTTTAAAAATGAATGCATAGGCTGGGTGCAGTGGCTCACCCCTGTAATCTCAGCACTTTGGGAGGCCGAGGCCAGCAGATCACGAGGTCAGGAGTTCGAGACCAGCCTGGCCAATATGGTGAAGCTCCATCTCTACTTAAAAATACAAAAATTAGCCAGGCATGGTGGTGTACACCTGTAATCCCAGCTACTCGGGAGGCTGAGACAGGAGAATGGCGTGAACCCGGGAGGCGGAGGTTGCAGCGAGCCGAGATCACGCCACTGTACTCCAGCCTGGGCAACAGAGTGAAACTCCATCTCAAAAAAAAAAAAAAAAAAAAGAATGCATCTTCCCAGCAAAGCAGCTAGAATTAATATTTTTCTTGTACAAATGCTGTAATCTATGTGGCCCTTTCACCAAACATGTTATTGGGTTCCCTTGTTTGCAAGCAAGAAAGGAAAACCCTGGTCTTTTTTTTTTTTTTTCAATCCTGCCATTTTTACTTTTATTAGTATCAAGCTGGAGCATCCAAGATGCTATTTACCTCGGCAGCCCGCTGGGTTTTTCCATTGCAACTGTGGGTTTTCTATTTGCAAAACAGCCACGGAGGCTTAGTACATATTTTCCGTATTTTGCCCTTGTAGCAAAGGCAAACATACGGGAATAGAAACATACTGAGGCAGAAATTTAAAATAATCATAATAAGGACTGGACGCGGTGGCTCACGCCTGTAGTCCCAGCACTTTGGGAGGCCGAAGCGGGCGGATCACGAGGTCAGGACATCGAGACCATCCTGGCTAACACGGTGAAACCCCATCTCTACTAAAAACACAAAAAATTAGCCAGGCGTGGTGGCGGGCGCCCGTAGTCCCAGCTGCTGGGGAGGCTGAGGCAGGAGAATGGCGTGAACCCGGGAGGTGGAGCTTGCAGTGAGCCAAGATCGCGCCACTGTACTCCAGCCTGGGCGACAGAGCGAGACTCTGCCTCAAAATAATAATAATAATAATAAGTAGTAGTAGTACTGCATTTATTCACTCCAAGAAAAGTAAACGCTAAGGCCCAGAATGTGGCAAGGTGAGGGTTAGAAAGAAAAGAAGTTTTCCTCTCCTAGCAGCTCGCTTCAAGGACAGTTAGAAGACAATGCTGTCCGAATAGCCAAGGCCAAAGGAATGGGCTCCAGACACCCCACCTCCCTCCCAGAGCAAGGTTGAAGGAAAAAAGAGAAAGACAGACGCTTTCACTGTTACTCTTTTCCCAGCCTTCTTAAGCATAATTAGCATGATCATGCTTTATGAATGTCTGTATTTAGCCAGTTCTTGTTTTTCTTTCAATGCAGTTACAAGGCCACCAGCTACGCAGTCACAACTTATGTGATGCTATAGATGACGTGACCTGCCACTGTAGGAGTAACTGCTTTTATTTTGCTTCTGTAAAGCCGCTTATGAAAACCCCGCTCTGTCTTTGTTCAGGGCTCAGCTTTTGGATGTGAGTCCTGTGAGCAGGTGCGTACCTAAAATAAACAAATCCTGCTATACTCTGTATTGGTCTCTCCGTTCCTCAGTTTACCACAACAATATGAAAATATGGGGCTGGGCGTGGTGGCTCATGCCTGTAATCCCAGCACTTTGGGAGGCCGAGGTGGGCAGATCACAAGATCAGGAGTTCGAGACCATCCTGGACAACATGGTGAAACCCCATCTCTACTAAAAATACAAAAGTTAGCCAGGTGTGGTAGCATGTGCCTGTAATCCCAGCTACTCAGGAGGCTGAAGCAGGAGAATCACTTGAACCCGGGAGGTGGAGGTTGCAGTGAGCCAAGATCGTGCCTCTGCACTTCAGCCTGGGTGACAGAGCAAGACTCTATCTCAAAAAAAAAAGAAAAAAAAAGAAAGAAAGAAAAGACGGAAACGCAGTGGAGAGATCCTGTTAACGTCAGGCAAAGTACACTTCAGAAGAATAACAATTACCACTGGTAAAATGGGACATTATCTAATGACAAAGGGGGCAATTCACCAAGAAGACAAAATGATTTTGATGATGTATTCAACGCAAAACAAATCCTCGAAATACATAAAGCGAAAGAAGATACAGAATTGAGAGGAGAAATAGGTGAATGCATAATTCATTTCTTTTTAGAGATACGGTCTCTCTCTGTCGCCTGAGAGTTGGGAACACGAACATTCCTCTTTCAATAATTGATACATCAAGTAGAGACTTTTTAATAACACAATCAATCATTAGGCCGAGCACGGTGGCTCATGCCTGGAATCCCAGCACTCTGGAAGGTCGAGGCAAGTGGATGGCTTGAGTCCAGGAGTTTGAGACCAGCCTGAGCAATATGGCAAAACTCTATCTCTACAAAAAATACAAGAATTAGGTGGCTATGGCGGTGCACACCTATAGTTCCAGCTACTCGGGAGGCTGAGGTGGGAGGATCCTTGAGCCTGGGAAGTGGAGGTTGCAGTGAGCCGAGATCACAGCACTGCACTCCAGCCTGGGCGACAGAGCAAGGCCCTGTCTGAAAATAATAATTGTAGTAGTAATAATAGTACTATCACCTGTGCATGGTGACTCACACCTGTAATCCCAGCACTTTAGGAGGCGGAGGCGGGTGGATCACTCGAGGCCAGGAGTTCGAGACCCACCTGGCCAATCTGGTGAAATCCCCTCTCTACTAAAAATTAGCTGGTCGTACTGGCGGGCACCTGTAATCCCAGCTACTCGGGAGACTGAGGCACGAGAATCGTTTGAACCTGGGAGGTGGAGGTTGTGGTGGGCTGAGGTCATACCACTGGACTCCAGCCTGGGGGACAGAGAGAGGCTCTGTCTCAAAATAATAATAATAATAATAATACTATCAATCAACCAATCAATCAATGACTCAATGGACATTTCTAGAACATTCCACCAAGCGACAGCAGAAAATGCACGAAGTTTAAGTACCCAGCGAATGCCACAGAGATACAACATATTCTAAGCTGTAAAACAAACCTTAACGAATTTAAAACAATTAAAATAATACTTGCTACAGTCCTATAAATAATGAAACCATTAATCAACAGCAGGAAGATATCTGGAAAATGCCCACATATTTGGACACTAAAAAGTTATCAGCTAAATGACTCATGGGTCAGAGGAGAAGCAAGAAGGGAAATTTTGAAATACTTTTAATTGAATGAAAATGAAATTATCAATGTATCAAAAATCGAGAAACATGGGGCCTGGCGCGGTGGCTCATACCTGTAATCCCAGCACTTCAGGAGGCCAAAGAGGCGGTGGATCATTTTAGGTGAGGAGTTTGACACCAGCCTGGCCAACATGGTGAAACCCTATCTCTATTAAAAATACAAAAATTAGCAGGGCGTGGTGCTTGGTGCCTGTAGTCCCAGCTACTTGGGAAGCTGAGGCAGGAGAATCGCTTGAACCCGGGAGGTGGAGGTTGCAGTGAGTCAAGAGGCAGAGGTTGCAGTGAGTTGAGATCAAGCCACTGCACTCCAGCCTGGGCGACAGAGCATAACTCCATCTCAAAAAAAAAAAAAAAAACAGGTACAGGAGTACTTTGAAAAAATTTATTGCATATACATAATATAATGCTTATATTCTATAATATATTCTAATACTTATTAGATAATATGCTTACTTTTTTTTTAGAAAAATGTCTGCAATCAATTATCTGATGTCCTATCCTTAAAAAAATTATTAAAAGAAGAGAAAAGTTTAGCCAAGTCAGGCAGAAGAAAAGAAATAATAAAGATATAATTAGAAACAGAAAAAAAAATATGAAAAAATGAATAAATCTAAAATCAGATTCATGGAAGGGATCAAACATATGGATGGAGCTTTCACCAGAAAGAAAAACATAAAAATAAACCATAAACGTCACTAGTATCAGGGATGCAAGAGGGACATCCCTGTAGCCCCTATTGATACTAAAAGGATAATGAAAGGATACTACAAATGATTTTATGCACATAAAATTGGTAGCATTGATGTAAAGGCAAAGTCCTAGAGAGACACACACTACCAAACCTAACTCAAGAAGAAACCGATAACCTGAATAGTTCTATGTCTACCAAAAAAAAAAAAATTATTTTGAGACTGAATCTCGCCCTGTCGCTAGGCTGGAGTGCTGTGGTATGATCTCAGCTCACTGCAACCTCCGCCTCCTGGGTTCAAGCAATTCTCCTGCCTCAGCCTCCCAAATAGCTGAAACTACAGGCACACACCACCACACCCAATTAATTTTTGTATTTTAGTAAAGATGGGGTTTCACCATGTTGGCCAGGATGGTCTCGATCTCTTGACCTCGTGATTCACCTGCCTTGGCCTCCCAAAGTGCTGGGATGACAGGCAAGAGCCACCATGCCCGCCCAAATAAATGAATTCTTAGTTAACACCTTCCAACACAGAAAACTCTGCAGAGGTCTTCACTGGCCAATTCCATTAAACAGTTATTGGAGGAAGATACCTAATTTTACCCAAACACTTCCTAAAATAGAAGAACACAGCATTTTCCAACCCATTGTATGAAGCCAACATTGTTACCACAATACCAACATAAAGAGGAAAAATGTCAGACAAGAAAACCACAGACAGATATTCGTCATTCACCCAGAAGCAGAAATTCTCAACAGCGTATCAACAAATCAAGGAAAACACCGTCTGGATATATGGCACCATGACCCTGTGAGGTTTATTTTATGAACACAAGAAGGGCTGTTTTTTAACATCGAAAAATCAATGTAATTAGCTCAATCAAGCCACTAAAGAGAAAAATGTGTACAATCTTTTCAAAACATGCAGCAGAAGTACTTGACAAAAATGAAAATCAACTTGGAAATAAAAATGCTGAGCCAAGTCTGCTTAACCCTATAGTGGGATCGACAGAAAACCCACAGCTAACTGTAACTCATAGGATGGAAGACTGACCAAGATCTTTCCTCTGAGATCAGGAACAAAGAAGGGAGCCCCACTCCGCTGCAAACAAATCATGTTTCTGTCACCCACAAAAACGGATGGTAGATTAAAAACCAATGTAACTTTCTTTTTGCTTTTTTTTTTTTTTTTTGAGACAGAGTCTTGCTCTATCTCCAGGCTGGAGTGCAGTGGCTCCATCTTGGCTCACTGCAACCTCCACTTCCTGGGTTCAAGCGATTCCCCTGCCTCAGCCTCCCAAATAGCAGGAACTATAGGCACGAGCCACCACACCTGGATAATTTTTTGTGTTTTAGTAAAGATGGGGTTTCACCATGTTGGTCAGGATGGTCTTGATCTCCTGAACTCAGGATCTGCCCGCCTTGGCCTCTCAAAGTGCTGGGATTACAGTTGTGAGCCACCGCGCCCGGCCTGCCCACATCTTAATAGTGTTATTTGTTTGTTGTTGTTGTTGCTGTTTCAGTTCTTTGTATATTGTGAGTAGGAGACTGTTTTAACCTCAACGTGATGATTCGTCCCGGCTCAATTCACAGAAGCTGGTGAAACAGTCGACACGGGTGTAACTTTCCATTTTCTGCCTCCGTGAGGTCACCCTAACTGTGAAAATAGACATATCTATTCATGTATTTTGAAAATGCACACATTTTTCTTTTTCTTTTTTCTCAGGCAGAGTCTGGCTCTGTCACCCAGGCTGGAGTGCAGTGGCACGATCTTGGGTCACCGCAACCTCCGCCTCCCGGGTTCAAGAGATTCTCCTGCCTCAGCCTCCCGCGTAGCTGGGACTACAGGCACCTGCCACAATGCCCGGCTAATTTTTGTATTTTTAGTAGAGACAGGGTTTCACCATATTGGCCAGGCCGGTCTCGAACTCCTGACCTCGTGATCTGCTTGCCTCAGCCTCTCAAAGTGCCGGGATTACAGGCCTGAGCCACTGCGCCTGGCCAGGGCCTCATTTTCCAAAGTCTTATCTTTCCTATGATGCTCTATTCATTTACAAGCATATATATATTTAAAAGGAAAACATGGACATCCTGCACCCATCATTCTACAGCTTGTTTTTCATTTCCAATGCACTGAAGATTGCTTCATGGTTTTGTATACGGAAATGCGTAGTTCTTTTCCTTTTTCTTGACTGCATACTATTCCGTTACATAAATGTACTGTGTAATATTTAACCCATTCCTTGTAGATGGGTGCCCTGCTAGTCTCAGACATTTGTCCTTATAGACAATGTCACAGCCAAAGGTATGTATCTCTGTATTTTTGCAGACATCGTCATGAATATTTTTTTTTTTTTTTGAGATGGAGTTTCACTCTTGTTGCCCAGGCTGGAGTGCAGTGGTGTGATGTTGGCTCAGTGCAACCTCCGCCTCCCGGGTTCAAGCGATTCTCCTGCCTCAGCTGCCTGAGTAGCTGGGATTACAGGCATGCGCCACCACACCTGGCTAATTGTATTTTTAGTAGAGATGGGATTTCTCCATGTTGGTCAGGCTGGTCTCTAAGTCCCGACCTCAGGTGATCCGCCCACCTCGGCCTCCCAAAGTGCTGGAATGACAGGCGTGAAACACTGTGCCCAGCCTGTCATGAATATTTGTAGGGGAGAACTGGCTTTGAATTTGATATCCTTAAAGGTGAATGGAAATATAAACGGTAAATATAGTCTGACTGCTTCAACGTCCTGTCTTCAGAGGAGATGTGATTTTTTCACATCTGCCCTTTCATTCATTCGTTTGTTTGTTTGTTTATTTGTGATAGGGTCTACCTCTGTCACCCAGGCTGGAGTGCGGTGGTGTGATCACAGCTAACTGCAGCCTCAAACTCCTGCACTCAAGCAATCCTTCCACTTCAGCCTCTTGAGTAGCTGGGACTACCAGGCATGTACCAGCACATCCGGCAAAATTTTTTTTTTTTTTTTTTTAAGACAGAGTCTGGCCCTGTTGCCCAGGCTGGAGCGCAGTGGCGCGATCTTGGCTCACTGCAACCTCCTCCTCCCGGGTTCAAGCAATTCTCCTGCCTCTGCCTCCCAAGAAGCTGGAACTACAGGCATGAGCCACCACACCTGGATAATTTTTTTGTGTTTTAGTAAAGATGAGGTTTCACCATGTTGGTCAGGATGGTCTCGATCTCCTGACCTCAGGATCTGCCCGCCTTGGCCTCCTAAAGAGCTGGGATTACAGTTGTGAACCACCGCGCCCGGCCTGCCCACATCTTAATAGTGTTGTTTGTTGTTGTAGCTGTTTCAGTTCTTTGTATATTGTGAGTACGAGACTGTTTTAACCTCAATTTGATGATTCGGCCCAGCTCAATTCACAGAAGCTGGTGAAACAATCGATATAGGTGTAACCTTCCATTTTCTGCCTCCGTGAGATCACGAGATGGAGTCTCACTCTGCCACTCAGAGCGGAATGCCGTGGTGCAATCTCAGTTCACTGAAACCTCTGCCTCCCGGGTTCAAGTGATTCTCCTATCTCAGTCTCCCGAGTAGCTGGGATTACAGGTGCGAGCCACCACGCCCAGCTAATTTTTGTATTTTTAGTAGAGATGGGGTTTTGCCATGTTGACCAGGCTGGTCTCGAACTCCTGACCTCAAGCAATCCTCCCACCTCGGCCTCCCAAAGTGATAGGATTACAGGTGTGAGCCTCCACGCCCAGCCCCTCTTTTCTCCCTCTTTGTCTCTCTTTCCTTCTCCTTTTTCACTCTCTCAGTATTTCTCTTCTGTCTTTCCCCCACTCCCTCTCTCTCTCCTTTCTCTCTCCTTTCTCAGTCTCCTTTCTCTCTCTCTTTCCCTCTCCTTTCTCAGTCTCCTTTCTCTCTCTCTTTCCCTCTCCTTTCTCAGTCTCCTTTCTCTCTCTCTTTCCCTCTCCTTTCTCTCTCTCTTTCCCTCTCCTTTCTGACTCTCTCTTTCTCAGTATCTGTTTCCTCTCTCTCTTTTTCCCTCCTCTCCCTCTCTCTCTCTCTCAAAATCTCCCTCTTCCCCCTCTCACCCTCTCTCTTTCTTCCACCCTCTCTACCCCACTCTCCATCTCTCCGTTTCTCTTCCTCTCTCCTTTTTTTTTCTCTCTCTCCTCTGTCTTCTCCATGGCCCTTCTTCCCTCTCTCTCTTCCTCTCCTTCTCTCCACTTTTCTCTCATACCCAGCCCTCAACAGAAACCACCACACTATGCACTGTCTGGCAATCCATATCCCCAAATCTTTATTCTCCTCTTGAGAGCAGCTTCTGAATTCTATTAGGTCCATCTCTCTACATCCTTTTACTTTCTTATCTCTGTTCTTATCTCTCTCTATTTTCTGAGCCACCGACGTCAGGGTAACTCAGCAGATCAGGCTGTGAGATACTGAGATACCCACGGCAAAGGGAACGTGAAATGAGATGGGATCAAAACCCAGAACCGTCCGTCACTAACACCGTTCACTTCTCTGCATAGCTCTGTCTTGTCTCCTCAAAGTGAGGACACAGGGAGAGAGACACTGTCGTGCAGCTTTTAAGAATTCAGGGTTGAGATTCTGATGCATCTGGGAGGGGCCTGCTTGCAGGTGAAGTCAGTTGTTGGTGACAACGTGGCCGTGGGCTGGCCGGGATGATGGTAGCGTACACCTGCAAAGTTTGCTGTAAGAATTAAGAGATAATACCTGGAAGGATGCATGCAACAGGTGCTTAGCTGAATGCCTACAAACACTGTCTATAGTTAGTTATCCTTTGTAATCACAAGTATCTTTTTTTTTTTTTTTTTTTTTTTTTTTGCGATGAGTCTGGCTCTGTCACCAGCCTGGAGTGCAGTGGTGCAATCTTGGCTCACTACAACCTCTGCCTTTGGGGTTCAAGAGATCCTCCTGCCTCAGCCTCCTGAGTAGATGGGATTACAGGTGCATGCCACCATGCCCAGCTAATTTTTTTGTGTTTGTATTTTTAGTAGACACAGGGTTTCACAGTGTTGGCCAGGATGGTCTCCATCTGTTGACCTTGTGATCGGCCTGCCTCAGCCTCCCAAAGTGCTGGGATTACGAGCATGAGCCACCGTGCTCGGCCGAGTATCCCTTTTATTGTCATCTAACAACAACGTGTTTCTTTAACCTGCCCTGTGACCTGCAGAGTGAAATGGAACGATGCTTATCTGGGCTGAATCACATATCAGAGCTCGATTCCTTTTCATGGCTGCATAATATTCCACGGTACAGATAAACCACATTGTGAGTATCCAGTCATCCACTGTTGGACATTTGGGTCATTTCCAGGGGCTGAGGGGTGAGGGGAAGGGGGGTGCCTGCAAATGGGAATGGGTTCTCCTCTGGGGGTGCCAGAAATGTTGTGGAACTGGATACAGGGGGTGATCCCACAACATCATGAACGCAGTAAATGCCACTGAATTGTTCAGTATAAAATGGTTAAAATGGTAAATTGTGTGTTTTGTGTATTTTACCACCATTAAAAACCTCTCAGATTTTGTTGTTGTTGTTGTTTGTTTGTTTTTTTGAGACGGAGTTTCACTCTTGTTGCCCAGGCTGGAGTGCAGTGGTGTCATCTCGGCTCACTGCAACCTCCGCCTCCCAGGTTCAAGCGATTCTCCTGCCTCAGCCTCCAGAGTACCTGGGATTACAGGCGTCCACCACCGCGCCCAGCTAATTTTTTGTATCTTTAGTAGAGACGGGGTTTCACCATGTTGGCCAGGCTGGTCTCCAACTCCCAACCTCGTGCCTCCCAAAGTACTGGGATTACAGGCGTGAGCCATGGCACCTGGCCTTTAGCTCTTTTTGTATTTTCTCTCCCTTTGACATAAATCTCCAGGCACGTCATTGGCACACCTGTATCACGTGTGTTTCTGTTTTTCTGCTTGCTTTAAGGTCAACCCTAGCTCCCGTTTTTGTCTGTTTATTTCTTTGTTTTTCCTGTTTCATTCTTGCACCAGTGAAAATTCTCATTAAGTGAATCCTCACTCTCCTTTTCAAAGCAGAACAGCTACTGGCCAGCCATCACGGCCCACGCCTGTTATCCCGGCACTTTCAGAAGCCGTGGCAGGTGGGTAACCTGAGGTCAGGAGTTCGAGACCAGCCTGGCCAACACGGTCAAACGTTGTCTCCACTAAAAATACAAAAATTAGCCAGGCATGGTGGGGCGCTCCTGTAATCCCAGCTACTTGAGAGGCTGAGACATGATAATTGCTGGAACCCAGGAGGCAGAGGCTGCAGTGAGCTGAGATCGCGCCACTGTACTTCAGCCTGGGCGACAGAGCTGGAATCTCAATAAATTAGTCAATTAATTAATTCAACTAATTATTAGTCAATTAATTACTTAATTAATTAAAAAGCAGAATACCTGTTAGTAACTGGCCTAATTACCCTTCTCACAGTAGATGCAAACTCTGCCCTTATGTCTTTTTTGAAACCGAGTCTTGCTCTGTCGTCCAGGCTGAAATGCAGTGGTATGATCTCGGCTCACTGCAACCTCTCCCTCCCAGGTTCAAGCAATTCTCCCACCATAGCCTCCTGAGTAGCTGGAGGGTAGTACAGGCATGCACCACCATGCCTAGCTAATTTTTGTATTTTTTAGTAGAGACGAGGTTTCACCATGTTGGTCAGGCTGGTCTTGAACGCCTGACCTCAGGTGATCCGCAGGCATCGGCCTCCCAAAGTGCTGGGATTACAGGCGTGAGCCACCACATCCGGCCCTCTGTCCTTATTTCTGTTTTTGTTTATGTTGTTGTTTTGAGACAAGACTTCATTCTGTCACCCGGGCTGGAGTGCAGTGCTACAATCACAGCCCACTGCAGCCTCAACCTTGCAGATTCAAGTAATCCTCCTATCTCAGCCTCCTGAGTAACTAGGACTGCTGTCATGCACTACCATGCCCCACTAATTTTAACATTTTTTTGTGGAAATTTTTTTTTTTTTGAGACGGAGTTTCGCTCTTTGTTGACCAGAGTGGAGTGCAGTGGTGCTATCTCAGCTCACTGCAACCTCCACCTGCTGGGTTCAAGCAATTCTCCTGCCTCAGCCTCCTGAGTAGCTGGGATTACAGGCATCTGTGACCATGCTCAGCTAATTTTTATATTTTTAGTAGAGACAGGGCTTCACCATGTTGGACAGGCTGGTCTCGAACTCCTGACCTCAGGTGATCCACCCGCCTTGACCTCCCAAAGTGCTGGGATTACAGGTGTGAGCCACCGCGCCCGGCCAGGTATTTCTTTATAACAGGCTGAGAACTGACAAATACAGTCTCCTAAAGGCAGGCCTGGGCCCCATACAACATGCCACCTTGTGGGCTCACGGTGAAGCTTATATCATCACCGTGCTAACCTGAGCCGTTTCACTAGACATGTTAACAGTCATAGCTACAGGTATCTGCAAACTGTACATCCCTGTCTTCATATTCAGGAAGCTCCCACATCGCCAAGCATCCTTTGCCCCAGGAAGAAATAGTAAACACACTTTTTTTTTTTTAGAAGGAGTCTCGCTTTTTTGCCAGGCTGGGGTGCAGTGGCGCGATCTCGGCTCACTGCAACCTCCGCCTCCCGAGCTCAAGTGATTCTCCTGCGTCAGCCTCCTGAGTAGCTGGGATTACAGGCGCACGCCACCATGCCTGACTAATTTTTGCATTTTTAGTAGAGATGGGGTTTTACCATGTTGTCCAGGCTGGTTTCGATCTCTTGACCTTGTGATCCACCCGCCTCAGCCTCCCAAAGTTCTGGGATGACAGGCGTGGGCCACTGCGCCCGGCCAGTAAACACACTTTTACAAATAAACTTTAATTTTCTCCCTTTCTTCTTTGTTTCTGTTTCTCAGTGCCCTCTGTCTGTATTTTTTTTTTTTTTTTCCATAGCTGCCACCCTGGAGTCTTTCATTTCATCCTCGGCTTTTCTTCTGTCAGTCTCATTCACTGAATCTGCCCTTTGCTTCTCCAGCCAGGGTTCTTCTCCTCCATGCTCTGTTTGTCACATTCCTCTCGCTTCTGTTTTGATTTGTGTAACGGTGACAATAGATGTGAGGTCGGGATTAGCTGCCCCTAATTCTGTTCAGGTGAACACCACTTATATCTGCACTTCCCTTTTTCTCCGGAGGTCAGTCTTGCAGAGGAGAAAATGCAGGTTGGCTCAAAGATGCAATGTGAGTGTGACATTTCTTCTATACAAAAAAAAAAAAAAAAATCGTGTTTTGCTTGAACCTGGGAGGCAGAGGTTGCAGTAAGCCAAGAAGGCGCCACTGCACTCCAGCCTGGGCAACAGAGTGAGACTCCATCTAAAAAAAAAAATAGTGTTCTGAATATGAATAATGCCACCTGGTATGGGTGGCTAAATTACCCAAATTCACCCAATTGTTCACTAAAAGATGCTTTTCTCTTTTTTTTCCTGGTTTGACAGTATTGAGAGTGTAGTTTGAAAACAAAGAAGAGAACATGTTGCCTAAAGAGTGAAAGACAGGACAAGAGAGTTTGAAAATGGCACGGAAGAGCTTATCACAGTCGGACACTCATCTGAGGCTTCATTTCATCGAAAAGAAAATAGAAAAAGATAAAATAAAATAGAAAAAGAATTCCATTCTCCATGATGTAATTATTCATACCTAGTATTCGATAGTACAACAGGGTGACTATCGTCAAAATAATTTAATTGCACATTTTAAGATAACTAAAAGAGTATGTATTAGTCCGTTTTCATGCTGCTGATAAAGACATACCCAAAGCCGGGTGCGGTGGCTCACGCCTGTAATCCCAGCACCTTGGGAGGCTGAGGTGGGCAGATCACCTGAGGTCAGGAGTTTGAGACCAGCCTGGCCAACATGGTGAAACCCCATCTCTACTAAAAATACAAAACTTAGCCAGGCGTGGTGGCCCATGCCTGTTATCCCAGCTAATCAGGAGGCTGAGGCTGGAGAATCACTTGAACATGGGTGGCAGAGGTGGCAGTGAGCTGAGATTGCACCACTGCAGTCCAGGCTGGGCAACAGAGTAAGACTTGGTCTCAAAAAAAAAAAAAAAAAAAAAAAAAAAAGCATACCCTAGATTGGGTAATTTATTTAAAAAAAGAGACATACCCGAGACTGGGAAATTTATAAAGAAAATGAGGTTCCATGGACTCACAGTTCCACATGGCTGAGGAGGCCTCACAGTCATGGTGGAAGGAGAAAGGCACATCTTACACGGTGGCAGGCAGAAGACAATGAGAGCCCAGTGAAAGCAGTTTCCCCTGATAAAACCATCAGATCTCATGAGACTTATTCACGACCTCCAGGACAGTCTGGGGGAAACCAGCCCCATGATTCATTTATCTCCCACCCAGTCCCTCCCACAACACATGGGAATCATGGGAGCTACAATTCAAGATGAGATTTGGGTGGGGACACCACAACACATGGGAATCATGGGAGATGCAATTCAAGATGAGATTTGGTTGGGGACACCACAATACATGGGAATCATGGGAGATACAATTCAAGATGAGATTTGGTTGGGGACACCACAATACATGGGAATCATGGGAGATACAATTCAAGATGAGATTTGGTTGGGGACACCACAATACATGGGAATCATGGGAGATACAATTCAAGATGAGATTTGAGTAGGGACACAGCCAAATCATATTAGAGTATAATTGGATTGTTTGTAACACAAAGGATAAATGCTTGAGGGCATGCAAGCTCCATTCTCCATGATGTGATTATGAAGCATTGCATGCTTGTATCAAAACATCCTCTCTGCACGGTGCATTGAACATGAATTATGCCATGTTGACTGTGTGTGATATCTGATGTATACAAAAACGGAGGTCAAGGCCCAAACACTGGGAGCACCAATGTCCAAGAGCATGAGAAGCTGGAGGTCCCGGTTCCAGGTAAGGAAAAGAGAATATAGTCTCCCTTCATCTGCATTTTCATTCTCTGCAAATCCCTCAGTGGAGAGGACAGTACCCATCCCCATTGGTGAGGGTGGTCTTTACTCAGTCTACCTATTGAAATGCTCATCTCTTCCCAAAACACCCTCGCAGACACACCCAGTCTGGGTGTGAAAAATGGGAGTTGAACAATGAGAACACATGGACACAGGGAGGGGAACATCACACACCAGGGCCTGCCGGGGGGTGGGGGGATAGGGGAGGGAGAGCATTAGGAGAAATACCTAATGTAGATGACAGGTTGATGGGTGCAGCAAACCACCATGGCACATGTATACCTGTGTAACAAACCTGCACGTTTTGCCCATGTACCCCAGAACTTAAAGCATAATAATAATAATAATAAAATCTCACGCACCCTAAATATATACACCTACTATATATCCACACAACATATACATAAATATATACACCTACCATGTACCCACAAAAGATAAAAATTTTAAAACACAAAGAGAAAGGAAACAGTGAAAATCAACAGACAGAGGTAAGAGACAACCTCCTATTCAGTGTTGCCGTGGTTCAGTAGAAAAATCCGTCTCACTTCAGGGCTGGAGAGACCCTCAGGGTCATCCATCATAGCCCACGGAGGTGCCATAAAAAATAATACTCAGGGATCTTCATCTTCAATAAATAAAGACTCTCTTTACCTTTCCGAGGTTGTAAAGAATCTTCAATGGACCGTGCCTTTCTCTTGGAAGTATCTTGGGTCTTCGCTGTCGAATTCCTAGGTCACGGAAGAAATTGTGTGAAAGGTAGAAGGTAAATTTTATTCTGGAATATAGGGTCCAGGAAAGGGGCTGGGGGCCTCATGAATCATCTGAAATTAGGTGCAAAACTTTGCACGTATGAGTATGTCTGCACCATGTCTAGATGGAGGGTTCTGAGCTTTCATCACATGTGGAAAGAGGTCTCAGAAAGCAAGCAAGAAAGAAAGCAAGCAAGAGTGAAAGAGGGGGTAGGGAGGGAAGGAGGAGGATGGGGGAGGAGCGAAAGAAACAGAAAGAAAGAAGGGAAAAAGAAAGAAAAAGAAGAAAGAAGGAAGGAAAGAAAGAAAGAAAGCAAGAAAGAAAGAAAGAGAAAAGAAAAGAAAGAAAGGAAGGAGGGAAGGAGGGAAGGAGGGAAAGAAGGAAGGAAAGAAGGAAAGAAGGAAGGAAGAGACAAAAGAAAAAAGGAAGGAAGGTAAAGAAAAAGAGAAAAGGAAAGAAGGAAGGAAAAGAGGAAACAAAAAAGGAAGGAAGGAAAGAAGGAAAAGCAAAAGAGGAAGGAAAAGAAAAGGAAGGAAGGAAAGAAAAGGAAAAGAGGGAAGGAAGGAAGAGAGGAAACATAAAAGGAAGGAAGGAAAGAAGGAAAAGAAAAAGAGGGAAGGAAGGAAAAGAGGAAACATAAAAGGAAGGAAGGAAAGAAGGAAAATAAGAGGAAGGAAGGAAGGAAAGAAGGAGTGAAGGAGGGAGGGAGGGAAGGAGGAAGGGAGGGAAGGAAGGAAGGAAGGAGCGAGAGAAGGAAGGAAGGAGCGAGAGAAGGAAGGAAGGACAGAGCAAGAGAAGGAAGGAAGGAGCGAGAGAAGGAAGGAAGGACAGAGCAAGAGAAGGAAGGAAGGAGCGAGAGAAGGAAGGAAGGAGCGAGAGAAGGAAGGAAGGACAGAGCAAGAGAAGGAAGGAAGGAGCGAGAGAAGGAAGGAAGGAGCGAGAGAAGGAAGGAAGGACAGAGCAAGAGAAGGAAGGAAGGAGCGAGAGAAGGAAGGAAGGAATGAAGGAATGAAGGAAGGAAGGAAGGAAGGGAGGCAAGGAGGGAAGGGAAGGGAAGGAAGGGATGGCGAAAGAAACAGAGAAATAAAAAGAAAGAGAAAATTTGAGGCTTCATAGAGAAGCAAGGGACTCTTGTCTGACCTTGGACCATGGGCTGATGTAAATATGGCTTCTCCCTTTCTTTCTCACAGGCAAATACGGCTGATTTCCCAGATGTTAGATTCCACTTCGGATTAAGGGCTGTTTCCTAGTAGCCTGTTGTGAAAATACAATCCACAGAGTGTAAATGAGCAAATTTTTAGAGTTTTCCTAAAGATCCCTACTTGTTATTTTACTAACAACTCCTGCTCCAAAGCACTGCTTGGCGAATCTCATGAAGTTCAGCTGGATCTGAAAGCAACTGAAATTCCCACAGTTTGGGGAAAAGGGGCTGTTATCAGGGCGTTGTGGGTTTCGTACATAGTCGGGATAGATGCAATTATGGCATCCCGATTACTTGTTATCCATTACAGTTAGTTCAGCATCGTGACTAACGATTGATTTAGTGTTCAGTATGGTATTTGGTTAGCAACACTGTGTGCAGTAAGTTGTAAATACTGCTTTCAGCATGATTTGGGCTAAAAGGATGTAGTCACTGTTTTCCAATTCAAATACAAATCACAAAAATGTGACCTCAGCATGGTGTTGATTTTTGAGAGGATACTTGTCCGAATATATTCCATTGACTGTTGTTTGTGCCTTTACCTTTTTTTTTTTTGAGGTGGAGTTTCCCTCTTGTTGCCCAGGCTGGAGTACGGTGGCGCCATCCTGGCTCACTGCAACCTCTGCCTCCCGGGTTCAAGCCATTCTCCTGCCTCAGCCGCCCGAGTAGCTGGAATTACAGGCATGCACTACCACAGCTGGCTAATTTTTTTGTCTCAAAAAAATATAATAATTATTAGGGAATTGTTTATTCTGTAATATTATTATTTATGTAAGTAATTTGTGAACATATCCAACTTTGAAATGTGTAATATTATATAAAGTTAAGCACCTCTTTTTTTGTCACCAGACAATGTCGTCATTCAGTAGGAAATGCTATTTTGAGATGTGTGTGCATGTGTGTGCGTGTGTACACACACAGTTTGTACACATAGATGTGTATACACTCAAACTGCGCATATGATATGTGTGTCTACAAATACATATTACTAACTCTATACGTCTGTATATATTTTTCTGTACATGTGAGACATATATAACATATATAATTATTAATAAGTGCTTATAGCAACATAGATTGCTTTTGTAAGTTTTGTAGATAAATTGTATCATATGGAGTATTTCGCAACTTGAATTATTTTTACTCCATAATATATTTGCAATCTCAATACGTTGAACAAGTTGACCTGGTTGATTCTGTGGTTCTTCACACATTTCTGTTTAATGATGGTACAGGGAATTGAACACTGACCTCTTACATCATCCTCAAACAGTTTTACTTTTACTGTTGTAGAATACATTGTTGCAAGCTTTTCTCCCTAAACACTCTTGCACCACACACGAATGTTACTTCATTGGCAGGATGTTGACTAGTTCTTGCCCGATATTTCCATTTCTTTTCTTTTTTTTTTTTTTTTTGAGAGAGAGTCTCGCTCTGTCACCCAGGCTGGAGTGCAGTGGTGCAATCTCAGCTCACTGCAACCTTCGCCTCCCGGGTTCAAGCAATTCTCCTGCCTCAGCCTCCCGAGTAGCTGGGATTACAGGCACCCACCACCATGCCTGGCTAATTTTTGTATTTTTAGTAGAGACGGGGTTTCACCATGTTGGCCAGGATGGTCTCGATCTCCTGATCTCAGGTGATCTGTCCACCTCGGCCTCTCAAAGTACTGGGATTCCAGGCGTGAGCCACCGTGCCTGGCCTCTTGTTTTGTTTTTAATTAGTTTGTGTGATTTTGTTTTACATGCATATCATGTAAACAGAATACAATCAGTCTTTTTTAAAAATATCTTCTCAGCATCATCAATTTAATTCTATTTTTCTTTATTAATCATCAGTACACCTGTGATCCCAGCTACTCAAAAGGCTGAGGCAGGAGAATCGCTTGAACCCAGGAGGTGAAGATTGCAGTGACCCAAGATGGAGCCACTGCACTCCAGCCTGGGTGACAGAGCGAGATTCCATCTCAAAACAAAAGAAAGCACGCTATTGATCTCACTTACCCCACAGAACAGTCCTGACTTCCTTCCTAGCTGCAGGAGGGAAATTGTGGAGAGCAGCCGTCTCCCATCCTTGGAGCTGTTTCCCTAAGTAAATCATGAGGCCACTTTTGCAGGAAATCCACACGCTGCCGGGAAGAGCTGATACAACTAAATTGAGAAAGCTCTTGGCTTCTGGTGACTCACAGCTGACTGACTGTTCCTTCCCCCTGAGCAATGAAGGTGAGTGCGGTGGGTGCTGTCCCGCTGGAATCACACAGTAGTGTCTGCCAGACACAGAGATGGAAGGGCGGATTGCTTCAGGAGCTTCCTGGGGTTCCTGCAAAAAAATGCCATAAATTCGGTGGCTAACACTACAAGAATCTATGCTCTCCCAGTCCTGGAAGCTGGTAGTCTCAGATCAAGGTATCTCAAGGACATGCTCCCTCCAGAGACTCTAGGGGAGGGTCCTTTCTGCCTCTGCCAGCTCCTGGGGGCTCCAGGTGTCCCTGGGCTTGTGGGTGCGTCACTTTAGTCTCTGCCTCTGTCTCCACATGGCCTTCTCCTCTGTGTCTGTCTCCTTTCTGTCTCTTAGAAGGACATCTGTCATTGATTTAGGGACCACACAGATAATTCAGGATGATCTCATCTTAAGGTCCTTTATTTAGTTACATCTGCAAACACCCCTTTTTCAAATAAGGTCTCAGTCACAGATTCTGAGGATCAGGACATGGACATACCTTTTTGGGGGATCACAGTTCAATCTACTTCACTTGTATCCAGTTCCCTCCAGAGGCTCTCAGGGAGGGTCCTTCCTGCCTCTCCCAGCTCCTGGGGGCTCCAGGTGTCCCTGTGCTTGTGGCCACATCACTCCAGTCTCTGCCTCCATCTCCATGCGGCCTTACCCTCTGTGTCTGTTCTCCTCCTCTGTCTGTTATAGAGACAGCAATGATTGGATTCATGGTCCATCTAATGCAGGATGATCTCATCTTAAAATATTTTACTACTTGCATCTGCAAGGATCTTATTTCAAAGTAAGCTCCCATTCACAAGTTCTGGGGGTGAGGGTGTGGACATATCTTTCTGGTGGACAATAGTTGAATTCATTACAATTTCATTTAGCCTTCTCTAGAGGCTCTAGGGGAGGGTCCTTCCTGCCTCTCCCAGCTCCTGGGGGCTCCAGGCATCCCTGGGCTTGTGGCCGCATCACTCCAGTCTCTGCCTCCGTCTCCATGTGGCCTCATCCTCTGTGTCTCCTCTTCTGTCTTTTAGAAGGACATCTGTCGTTGTATTTAGGACCCACCCTAATCCAGGATGATCTCATCTTAAGTTAGTTTCACCTGCAAAAAAAAAAAAAAAATTGTTTCCAAACAGGGTTTCACTCGTAGGTACTGGGACTCAGGATTTGCACCCCTTCTGTTTGCCACGATCCTTTATCTCTTCAGCATCCAGCAGCCTGCTGCACACTGCTGTGGACTAATAAAGGCATGAGGGAGACGATCGGAGAAAGAGAATACGGCAGAAGTGTGAGTCAGACTCCGGGGGCGATGGAACGGTGGAGATGCAGAAATGCAAATTTGCAAATTCGTGTACCCATTTGCTTTGCCCTGGAGCCCAGCGCAGAGCTGGGGAAGGCAGCTCCGCGGAAGGCAGAGCCCTGCTCTGCCTGGGGTGAGCTCATGGAAGCATTCCAGAAAACAGTGATTAGGCACCTACTGTGTATCAGGCACCATGGAGGTCCTCAGAACGCAAGAGTGAGCCAAGTGCGTCCACAGGCTGAGAAGGTAGATGATGGCAAAGGGCGTCAACACCTCTGGGCTGGGGACAGGCTTAAAATTGGGGAAGAGACTCAGGGGGCCTTGAGCATCATCTGGTATCACACAGGCACCCTAGAGAGAGAAGGTGAGTTGGAGATGTTTCTCATTTAGAAAAATAAACTGAGGTCTCTCGGCCAGCACGCATTTAATTTTACATAAACATGTTCCATCATAAATCTAACTGATTTTCAACATGAACGTAAAATATAAAACCTGCTCTAGGATTTATTTCTAAAAAGACGTTACATCAGAATCGCCTGAATCATCAGACTCATCTGGTTTGGAAAAATTGGATTCATCCAACAAACCTTCAGCCAACAACTGTTGTAGAACGATGTTAATATCACATGCGGCAATGATATGTTTTCTAGGATTCGACATTTTCAGCGATCGAGAATGATTATATTTCAAATGGAAATACCACTATTAAGACAGAATGGTATAAATAGGATGACGTCTTCCGTTTCCAAAGTTGACATATTAGAATGATGAGAAAATAATCATAAAAATGAGATACTGAGGCTGAGCACGGTGGTCATCCCAGCACTTTGGGAAGCCGAGGTGGACGGATCACCTGAGGTCAGGAGTTCAAGACCAGCCTGGCCAAGACGGTGAAACCCCATCTCTACTAAAAATACAAAAATTAGCCCGACGTGGTGGCGGGCGCCTGTAATCCCAGCTACTCGGAAGGCTGAGGCAGGTGAATTGCTTGAACCCAGGAGGCGGAGGTTGCAGTGAGCCGAGATCACAACCATTGCACTCCAGCCTGGGTGACAGAGCGAGGATCCATCTCAAAAAAAACAAAAGATACGTGTGGCAGTGTTATCTCAGAGTAAATGCTGCTGCCACAAGTACAGCCCGTGAGTATTCTCGGGGCAAACAGGAAGAGGGTTGAAGCTAGAGAGACACTCGCTCTTCCCACCACCTCTTAATGTCCTATTTGTGCTTCAAGGACACTCGGTCCCTTGTTGTTATATCCATAAATCCCTTCTCCTCCCAGCCCAGCAGTGAGGGCCCCATTGCCCATTACCTATCTATAGGGAACCAGCCCTGCAGGCATGCAGAGACCCCTGAGACAGTCTTCCTCATGTCCCCTCATCATAGCCCCAAAAGCTAACACCCAGGGATGGGCTGTAACCCGCTTGAGGTTAGAAGGTCACTGACGTTACAGGAGTCCGCACTGACACCCAGGGGCCCTGACTCCTGGCACGCTGGATATTGTTGAGAGGCAGAGGCTGCTCTGGGACACACCTGTTCTTACCTGGTCCCCAGGATCCGGGTCTTTTGAACAGGGCTGCTTTGCACGATACCCTCAGGTACCTGCCTCCCAGGGCTCTGTCCTTCTCAGATGGCTCAGGGCTGTGGTTCCTGGGAAAAGCTTCGGGATGAGGTTTCCTGCCATGTTTCCCCATGGGTCAGAATAATGTCATATTGATTGTGGAAATCAGCAGCACTGCTTACTTTTTTTTTTTTTTTCAGGCGGAGTCTCGCTCTGTCACCGAGGCTGGAGTGCAGTGGTGCAATCTCTGCTCACTGCAACCTCTGCCTCCTGGGTTCAAGTGATTCTCCTGACTCAGCCTCCCGAGTAGCTGGGACTATGGGCTCCCACCACCACGGCCAGATAATTTTTGTATTTTTAGTAGAAATGGGGTTTTGCCAAGTTGGCCAGGCTGGTCTCGAACTGCTGACCTCAGGTGATCCGCCCACCCCAGCTAATTTTTGTATTTTTAGTAGACACGGGGTTTCACCATGTTGGCCAGGCTGGTCTCGAACTCCTGACCTCGTGATCCGCCCGCCTTGGCCTCCCAAAGTGCTGGAATTACAGGCTTGAGCCACCGCACCTGTCCTAGGTATGTTCGTTTAACAATACCGTAGGGTATACTTAAATATTTGTTAGGCTCAATTCCTGGTGGCTTAGTCATTCTGCCCTGGGGATTGTCCTTGCTTCACACTGGTTCCAGAAACTCCTCACGGCCCCCACAATGAATTCCTGGTGGCTTAGTCATTCTGCCCTGGGGATTGTCCTTGCTTCACACTGGTTCCAGAAACTTCTCACCGTCCCCACAATGAATTCCTGGTGGCTTAGTCATTCTGCCCTGGGGATTGTCCTTGCTTCACACTGGTTCCAGAAACTTCTCACCGTCCCCACAATGAATTCCTGGTGGCTTAGTCATTCTGCCCTGGGGATTGTCCTTGCTTCACACTGGTTCCAGAAACTTCTCATCACCCCCACAATGAATTCCTGGTGGCTTAGTCATTCTGCCCTGGGGATTGTCCTTGCTTCACACTGGTTCCAGAAACTCCTCACGGCCCCCACAATGAATTCCTGGTGGCTTAGTCATTCTGCCCTGGGGATTGTCCTTGCTTCACACTGGTTCCAGAAACTTCTCACCGTCCCCACAATGAATTCCTGGTGGCTTAGTCATTCTGCCCTGGGGATTGTCCTTGCTTCACACTGGTTCCAGAAACTTCTCATCACCCCCACAATGAATTCCTGGTGGCTTAGTCATTCTGCCCTGGGGATTGTCCTTGCTTCACACTGGTTCCAGAAACTTCTCACCGTCCCCACAATGAATTCCTGGTGGCTTAGTCATTCTGCCCTGGGGATTGTCCTTGCTTCACACTGGTTCCAGAAACTTCTCATCACCCCCACAATGAATTCCTGGTGGCTTAGTCATTCTGCCCTGGGGATTGTCCTTGCTTCACACTGGTTCCAGAAACTTCTCATCACCCCCACAATGAATTCCTGGTGGCTTAGTCATTCTGCCCTGGGGATTGTCCTTGCTTCACACTGGTTCCAGAAACTTCTCACCGTCCCCACAATGAATTCCTGGTGGCTTAGTCATTCTGCCCTGGGGATTGTCCTTGCTTCACGCTGGTTCCAGAAACTTCTCATCGTCCCCACAAAGGGAGCAGATTACGTACAGCACGTGGTGGTTGACTCCGCAATGACACTCAGGTTTAGACGAATGAGGACAGCTTATCTCCTTATCGTCCCACTCCTCACTCCGGTTATCTGTACCCTTCTGTCTTTATATCCAGCTTTGCCTGTGCTGAGAAGCAGCCTCTCAAGGCCAGAAGTAAGAATAGTCTGATTCTGACTTGCTGACAAATTGCTGGTTCTTGGAATTGTGTGGCAGGTGTATTTGCCAAACCACTTACAAAAAAAAGTTAGGGTGGATTTTATGTTATGTGATTTTTACCACATTAATAATAATTATTAATAAAGCCTTTAGTGACTTCCTTATAAATCTCCCTTTTTTTTTTTTTTTTTTTTTTAAGACAGAGTCTCACTCTGTCACCCAGGCTGGAGTGCAGTGGCACAATATCGGCTCACTGCAAGCTCCGCCTCCCAGGTTCACGCCATTCTCCTGCCTCGGCCTCCCAAGTAGCTGGGACTACAGGCGCCCGCCACCACGCCCGGCTGATTTTTTGTATTTTTAGTAGAGATGGGGTTTCACCGTGTTAGCCAGGATGGTCTCGACCTCCTGACCTCGTGATCCGCCCGCCTAGGTCTCCGAAAGTGGTGGGATTACAGGCGTGAGCCACCGCGCCCAGCCGTAAATCTCTTATATGAACTGTGAACAAACATCACCTAGGAGATGGGAAAAGACCCATCTCCCTTCAATATGCAGCCGTACAATCATAGAGAGGAGGCCCTGTTTCTGTTCCATTCATTCGGTTTTCATTTTATTGTATTAATCTTTATTTATTTTTGAGACAGGGTGTTGTTGCAGTTTCGCCCAGGCTGGAGTCATCCTCCTGCCTCAGCCTCCCAAGTAGCTAGGACTACAGACATGGGCCACCCGTGCCTGCCTGGCTAAATCGTTTTTGGATGTTTTCCCTCTCAGAGGTCCAGACACCAACTAACTTGGAAATCTAGGGCTCCAGGATGGGTGACGTGTGTTATTCTATTTTGCATCGAAAAGAGGCTGTCTCTTTGTTTGTTTGTTTTGAAACACAGTCTCACTCTGTTGCCCAGACTGGAGTGCAGTGGCATGATCTCAGCTCACTGCAACCTCCACCTCCCGGGTTCAAGCCATTCCCTTGCCTCAGCCTCCCGAGTAGCTGGGATTACAGGTGCCCACCACCCTGCCCAGGAAATGCTATTTTGAGATGTGTGTGTATGTGTGTGTCTATGTGTGTGTGTGTGTGTGTGTGTACAAACTGTGTTTGTACATGTAGATGTGTATATACTCAAACTGTGCATATGATATGTGTGTCTATAAATACATATTACTAACTCTATACGTCTGTATATATTTTTCTGTACATGTGAGACATATATAATATATATAATTATTAATAAGTGCTTATAGCAACATAGATTGCTTTTGTAAGTTTTGTAGATAAATTGTATCATACGGAGTATTTCACAACTTGAATTATTTTTACTCCATAATTTTTACACCATGCCGAGGTAGTTTTTTTGTATTTTTAGTAGAAATGGGGTTTCCCCATGTTGCCCAGGCTGTTCTCAAACCCCTGACCTCAAGCGATCCACCCACCTCAGCCTCCCAAAGTGCTGGGATTCCAGACGTGAGCCACCCCGCCTGGTTCATTGTGTTTTCAAAAACCCTCCAACCTGTTGCTAATGACATTGTTGATGAAATACAATCGCTCAAATTATCCAAAATTATTTTCAACAGGGACACACTAGGAAAACACAGCTGTATTTACTTTCAGCATCTGCATTTATGCATTTCCCACCAAAAATCACATGATTACAGTCAGCACGCAACGCAACGATGTCAATTGTGCCGGGCTGTGGGATTGGGTGCACTGAGAATAGTGCAGTCAGTTGGAGTTGAGTCCTTCTGGCCCCTTCGGAACAGCACTGGAGAGAAGAAACATCACCAGGCTAAAATAAATACTTGGAGAGTCCAAAAGAAGGTGCATTTTGGACGGCTATATTTTTAACACGTTTTTGAAAACTCACGCATGTAACAGAGTCTCAGGTGATCTGCCCTTGTGGTTCACACTTTTATCTCCTGTCACTTGAACCTGGGAGGCGGAGGCTGCAGTGAGCCGAGGTTGTGCCACTGCACTCCAGCCTGGGTGACAGAGAGAGACTCTGTCTCAAAAACAAATAAATAAAACGAGAATGAATGGTTTCTAGGGCATGACTTTCCAGCTCCCTTAGATAGGCATTTGGGCAAGATTAAAGAAAAAAAAAAAGACAGAGCTTCGTCCTCACGTTAATGTGACCCTTCCATCAGATTGATGAAAAGTAATGGCGGTTTTTGCCATTGCTTTTGTGAACCCTGAAAACGTCAGACAGGTGGCGGTAAGTTTAGAAAGTTTATTTTTTCAGGGTTGACGACGGGCACCTGTGACACACCCTCAGGAGGTCCCGATGACATGTACCCAAGGTGGTTGGGGCAAAACTTGGTTTTATACATTTTAGAAAGGCATGAGACATCAATCAACATATGTAAGAAGTACATTGGTTCAGTCTGGGAAGGTGGGACGAGTTCAAACAAAGGCAGGAAGACTCTAAGCGGGAAGGGGGTTTCCAGATCACAGATAGATAAGAGACAAATGGCTGCGTTATTTTGAGTTTCTGATGAGCGTTTCTAAAGGAGGCAATCAGATTTGCATCTATCTGAGTGAGCAGAGGGGCAACTTTGAATAAAGTGGGAGGCAGGTTGGCCCTAAGCAGCTCCCAGCTTGAATGGAGACTGGAAGCAGGGAGGGGGATTCCAGGTCCAGAGAGATGAATGACTACATTCTTATATATATATTATATATTTAGTGTGTGTATATATATATTTTATATATATATATATATATAAGTTCTAGGGTACATGTGCACAACGTGCAGGTTTGTTACATAGGTATACATGTGCCATGTTGGTTTGCTGCACCCATTAACTCGTCATTTACATTAGGTATATCTCCTAATGCTCTCCCTCCCCCATCCCCCCCCCCCCAACGACAGGCCCCGGTGTGTGATGTTCCCCACTCTGTGTCCAAGTGTTCTCATTGTTCAATTCCCATCTATGAGTGAGAACGTGCAGTGTTTGGTTTTCTGTCCTTGCGATAGTTTGCTCAGAAAGATGGTTTCCAGCTTCATCCATGTCGGTACAAAGGACATGAATTCATCCTTTTTTATGGCTGCATAGTATTCCATGGTGTCTATGTGCCACGTTTTCTTAATCCATTCTATCATTGATGGACATTTGGGTTGGTTCCAAGTCTTTGCTATTGTGGACAGTGCCGCAATAAACATACATGTGCATGTCTCTGTATAGTAGCATGATTTATAATCCTTTGGGTATATACCCAGTCATGGGATGGCTGGGTCAAATGGTATTTCTGGTTCTAGATCCTTGAGGAATGGCCACACTGTCTTCCACAATGGTTGAACTAGTTTACACTCCCACCAACAGTGCAAAAGCGTTCCTATTTCTCCACATCCTCTCCAGCACCTGTTGTTTCCTGACTTTTTAGTGATCGCCTGAATGGCTACATTCTTTTGAGTGTCTGATGACCCTTTCCAAAGGAGGCAACTAGATATGGCATCTGTCTCAGTGAGCACAGGGGTAACTTTGAATAAAATGGGAGGCAGGTTGGCCGTAAGCAGCTCCCAGCTTGAAGGGGCCCAAAGTACTTTCCTTTCACCCCTTTTAATGGGAAAAACTGCAGTGACTGTTGCACCAACCCAGTACATGTGGCGAATTAGCCTGCATGAGACCCATGGACGATGAGACTCTTTGAAAATAAGAATTTATGGGCTGGGCACGGTGGCTCATGCCTGTAATCCCAGCACTTTGGGAACCCGAGGCGGGTGGATCACCTGAGGTCAGGAGTTCGAGAACAGCTGGCCAACGTGGAGAAACCCCGTCTCTACTGAAAAACACGGGGTTTTGATTGTGAGGTCTCCCCAGCCATGTGGAACTGTGAGTCCATTAAACTGTTTTTTCTTTCTTTATAAATTAACCAGTCTTTATTATAAATTATTATATATAAAAAATTATTATATATAAAAAATTATAAATTTTTTCTTTCTTTATAAATTAACTAATCTTTATTAGCAGTGCGAGAACAGACTAATACACCAGGTAAGTATGTAGAGAATTATCCATGAATCCTTATATCCCGAAATAATTACTGCGTGCCCCCAACCCTGAGAAAACCAGCAGCTTGCTAAGAGCCTCCGTCTCTCTGTCTCTGCCTCCCTCTCTGTCTCTCTGTCTCTGCCTCCCTCTCTGCCTCTCTGTCTCTGTCTCCCTCTGTGTCTCTCTGTCTCTGTGTCTCTGTACTTTTTTTTTTTTTTTAGACAGAGTCTTGCTCTGTCACCCAGGCTGGAGTGCAGTGGCATGATCTCAGCTCACTGCAACCTCTGCCTCCTGGGCTCCAGCAATTGTCCTGCCTCAGCCTCCCAAGTAGCTGGGACTACAGGCGTACAACACCACGTCTGGCTAATTTTTGTGATTTTTTTATTTTTCATTTTTGAGATGGAGTCTCGCTCTGTCACCCAGGCTAGAGTGCAGTGGCACAATCTCAGCTCACTGCAAGCTCCGCCTCCCTGGTTTAAGCCATTTTCCTACCTCAGCCTCCCGAGTAGCTTGGACTACAGGTGCCCGCCACCATGCCCAGCTAATTTTTTTTTTTTTTTTTTTTGTATTTTTAGTAGAGACAGGGTTTCACCGTGTTAGCCAGGATGGTATCGATCTCCTGACCTTGTGATCTGCCTGCGTCGGCCTCCCAAAGTGCTGGGATTACAGGCGTGAGCCACCGCGCCCAACCAATTTCTGTGATTTTAGTAGAGACGGGGTTTCACCATGTTGGCCAGGCTGGTCTCAAACTCCTAACCTCAAATGATCCACCCACCTCGGCCTCCCAAAGTGCTGGGATTACAGGAGTGAGCCACCGTGCCCAGCCAAGACCTCATATTTTATGGGGACAGCACAACAGACCCTAACTATCCTTCAGAGTTCCACTCTGCGTCCAGGAATACGTAGTGATGACAAGCTTGGGCACCTGCCTGAGCGCCAGAGACTTGGAACTCCATTAATTCCAGACCGCTTTGTGCTCTAAAATTCAGAATCCAATGGCAAAACCATCATCACTGCCAGAAAGACACCTGGTGGAGTCATAAGCCTCACACTCATTTTTCTCCTCCTCTCATTTCTATTCATAGATCATCCCCAGGGTGGGATTGAAATCCACATTCTCCACAATCTGGATTTTTTCCAAGTCATCATTTATTAGCAGCATCTTGTGAAATCTCCTCCTAAGAAAGCAGATACGGTAAGAGTCACAATCTCTTAACGAATTTATCTGTAAGTCTCCGAGGAGTTCATTTTCTCCCTTTGCCTCTGATCCGGTTCATATGGCGCAATCATCTTGTCCGCTGTGTGGCCATTCGAGCCGTCCACAGGAAGGGGCAGCTAAGTTCATTTAACTGTGACTCCCCGTTAAGGCTGCAGTAGCCCCATGTGCTCTGGTCCCGGCCAAGGCGTGGCGAGCTACCGCCCCATGCCCGCCGGACACAGAAGGAAAATCAAGCAGGGGAGGTGCCTGTCTGATGGTGGCGGCTCCTTCCTCACGGCCACTGCCCTCCTACCAGCCCGGTTCAGCCTGTCCTCCCCTCTCCTACTGCTTCTCTCTCATCCCTTTCCCTGTCTCTTTCTGTGTCTTCCTTCTCTCTCTCTTTTCTCTGTCTCTCTGTCTCTCTCTCTCTTTCTCCCCTGCTCCCAGTCTCTCTCTCTGTCTCCTTCCCTCTCAGTCCCTCTCTGTCTCCCTGTCTGCCTCGGTCTCTCTGTCTATGTCCCCCCTCTGTCTCTGTCACTGCCTCTGTCTCTCTGTCTCTGTCCCCTCTCTGCCTGTCTCTATCTCTGTCTCTCTCTCTGTCTCTGTCTCTCTTCTCTGCCTCCCTCTGTCTCTCTGCCTCTCTCTGTCTCTCTCTCTGCCTCTGTCTCTCTCTCTGCTTCTCTCTGTCTCTGCCTCCCTGTCTCTCTGCTTGTCTCTCTGTCTCTGTCTCCCTCTCTGCCTGTCTCTGTCTGTCCCTATCTCTGTCACTCTGTCTCTGTCTCCCTGTCTCTCTGTCTCTGCCTCCCTGTCTCTCTGCATGTCTCTCTGTCTCTGTCTCCCTCTCTGTCTCTCTGTCTCTCCCTCTCTGTCTCTGCCTCCCTCTCTGTCTCTCTTTTTCCTGCTGCAATTTCACATTCTCCACGAGTCACTGGCGTCCTGGACTTCCCATGAGAGAATGTCTGAGGCCGGCAGAATGAAATGCTGGGACGGACACAGCTTCATCCGTGCCTAACGAACAGCTGTCAGCGTCGCGCTGAAATCCTCCCGTGTCCGTGCCGGCTGCATTTGAGTCCCATCATTTCCTCGAGCAAATATTAAAGAATCAAGATTGCATTGTATCATCGCTGCGTGCCTTTTCTCTGAACGTCTGAGATTGTGACTAGAGGCATTTGAATACAAGGATGACTGCTGGCAGAGGGGTACATCACAGGTCATCTCATGATTTGGCAGCATTCAGTCACGTATCCTTGATTGCTAAGTGACCAGAGGCTGGGCTGGGCTGGCTTTTAAATGGTGGTCATTTTTGAGTTATTACTGGAAGCTGAAGGATTTGGTTTAAATAGGCAGCTGCTTTAAAATAGATTTGTTTCAGAGAAACCCCAATAGAATTCATTTAACGTTTCCATCAAATGATCATAGTCATTACCCGAATGATTGTAATTCTCCCGGGAAAGCTGTTCCTTTTTCTTCTGGAAAATCAGAATATACCAAAATGGTCAGTACCTTGCTATTTTCGTGGCAATGACTAAAACCTGGACTGATGTTGCTAACCCTTTATTTTTCCATGATTACGATTTCCATCATTAGGTACCTGTCTTACCTCCCTACACACACAGGTGCATGCAGGCATATGCACGCACAGACACACAAATACATGTGTACACACACACACAGACACACACAAAGATACACAGAGACACACACATAGACACACACACGTGTACACACAGACACAGACACACACACATATGTACACATACAGACACACACAGACACATACAGACACACACAGACACACAGACACAAACATACACAGACAGACACACACAGACACAGACACACACAAAGACACACACACAAACACACATACACAGACACACAAAGACACACACAAACACACAGAGACACATACAGACACAAAGACACACACAGACACACACAAACACACACAGACACAGACACATACAGAGACACACACACAAACACACAGACATAGACACACAAAGACACACACACACACACAGACACACACACAGGCACACACACACACACAGACACACACACAGTGTCTCAGTTCTACAGAATCCAGAAATCACCCTCTTGTCTTCTGTTTAACCAAAGTCAACAAGTAAACATGATTTCCTATGTCCTCTGTTTCTTTTTATTTTTCGTTTTTTTTTTGAGGTGGAGTTTCACTCTTGTTGCCCAGGCTGGAGTGCAGTGGCTGGATCTCGGCTCACTGCAACCTCTGCCTCCCGGGTTCAAGCAATCCTCCTGCCTCAGCCTCCCCAGTAGCTGGGATTACAGGCACCCGCCACCACGCCTGGCTAATTTTTGTATTTTTAGTAGAGACGGGGTTTCACCATGTTGGTCATGCTGGTCCCAAACTCCTGACCTCAGGTGATCCACCTGCCTCAGCCTCCCAAAGTGCTGGGATTACAGGCATGAGCCACTGCGCCCGGCCTGTCCTCTGTTTCTTTAAATGAAAAGAAAGATGATAGCTAAGAGAGTGTGTTCACGTTGCATTGATTTATATGATTCTCATCACCTTGAGTATATATTATCCTGATAAGACAATTATCATAATTCCTTGTATTACTATTCTCACACTGCCGTAACAAAATATCAGAGACTGGGAGGGTTAAACAGCAGACATTGATTCTCCCACAGTCCTGGAGGCTGGAAGTCCGAGATCAAGATGTGAGCTGGGCTGATTCCTCCTGAGGCCACTCTCCTTGGCTTGTAGATGACGTCTTCTCCTGTGTCTTCAAAGGGTCGCCCCTTTATGTGTGTCTGTGTCCTCGTCTCCTTTTCTTATGAGGTGTCTTAGTCCATCTCAGGCTGCTATCACAGAATACCATAGACTGGGTGGCTTAGAAACAACAGACATTGATTCTCCCACAGCCCTGGAGGCTGGACGTCCAAGATCAAGGTGTGGGCAGGGCTGGTTCCTCCTGAGGCCTCTCTCCTGGGCTTGGAGATGCCGTCTTCTCCCTGTGCCCTCACAGGGTCGTCCCTCTGTGTGTGTCTGTGTCCCCATCTCCTCTCCTTATGAGATGGCTTAGTCCATCTCAGGCTGCTGTCACAGAATACCAGAGGCTGGGTGGCTTATAAACAGCAGACATTGATTCTCCCACAGTCCTGGAGGCTGGAAGTCTGAGATCCAGGTGTGGGCAGGGCTGGTTCCTCCTGAGGCCTCTCTCCTGGGCTTGGAGACACCATCTTCTCCCTGTGTCCTCACAGGGTCTCCCCTCTGTGTGTGTCTGTGTCCTCATGTCCTCTTCTTATAAGGACCCCAGTCCTATTGGATAAGGGCCCACCCTACTGACCTCATTTTACCTTAATCCCCTCTTTAAACACCCCAACTCCAAACACAGTCACATCTTGAGGTCCTGGGGGTCAGGGGTTCAACCTAGGAATTTAGTGAGACACAGTTCCGTTCATAATACTCATCTTTTCCCGAGAAAGGAAAAACTTCCAAAGATGAAAATGACTTCTGCAAGGACACACAACCCAGGCGGGCCTGGCGTTGAAAGCCAGGTCCAAGAAGCTGACCAGCTTCAAGGTCAATGACTTCCTCTTGCGCTGGAAAGGATTCCTGTCAAGCCACCTCTTTCCTGAGCAAAGAGCTTGGAAATCCACATGTGGAAATTGCATTTTTATTACAGACTCTCCACCAGGGTGTAGATGTCCAATGAGAATGCAAAAGCATGGTCTGCCGTTATCATCAATCCAGCCTCGGCTGTCTTGGAATTCACGCCGTGCCTCTGGGCCACGCATTGGCTTATGTATCCAGCAATTCTTTATGGAATGCCTACTTGAGCTAGGCGCAGGGGCGCTGAAGGTGACTAAACTAGGTGGTTCAGGGAGACACACTGGGAAGAAAGGGAATGGATTAACCGTAGGTACCCAAGTCATTGAGGTTTCAGCATCTCCTGCAGAGGAATCAAGGGGACACTGAATGCATAAAAACAGACGATAATCGGCCGGGCGTGATGGCTCACGCCTGTCCTCCCGGCACTTTGGGAGGCTGAGGCGGTCAGTCAGATCACCTGAGGTCAGGAGTTTGAGACCAGCCTGGCCAACATGGTGAAACCCTGTCTCTACCAAAAATACAAATGTCAGCCGGGCGTGGTGGTGGGCGCCTGTAATCCCACCTACTCGGGAGGCTGAGGCAGGAGAATCGCTTGAACCCTGGAGGCAGAGGTTGTGGTGACTTGAGATAGCCCATTGCACTCCAGCCTGGCAACAGAGCGAGACTCCGTCTAAAACACAAAACAAAACAAAAACTCACGAAAAAAACAACAAAGAACAAGAACAAAAACAAATGGTAAATGTAGGTACCCAAGTCATTGAGGTTTCAGCATGTCCTGCAGAGGAATCAGGGAGATCCCAGATGCTTGAAAACAGAGGATAATTAATAAATAGGCTACGTATCATGTCCCTGGGCACTCAGCCACAATGCACCTGCTTTCATCTATGCATTGGGTTATCACACCTGACTGTCAGGAGTGCTGGATTGTGGGCTATGAGAATTGATCCCCAGCGAGGCACGAGTCAAATCCAACCTCTGACTCATCAACCCTATTCCAGCATGTTCTCACTGAGCCTGATTATGCCAGGTGAGGCCAGAGGGTAGAGAGAAAAAGGTGAGCCCTTCTGATGCAGGGCAGGTGAGCCCCTACATCAGGGTAACCTAAGAGGGTTCTTAGCTTTGCCCAGAAAAGAATTCAAGGGCGAGCCGGTGGTGTTAGACAGCAACTTTTTTTTTTTTTGAGATGGGGTCTCACTCTATCATCCAGGCTGGAGTGCAGTAGCGCAATTATTTATTAATTATCCTCTGTTGTTGCCCAGGCTGGAGTGCAGTGGCGTGATCTCAGCTCACTGCAGCCTCCACTTCCCGGGTTCAAGCAATTCTCCTGCCTCAGCCTCACGATTAACTGGATCTACAGGCACGCACCACCACGCCCAGCTAATTTTCGTATTTTTAGTAGAGACGGGGTTTCACCATGTTGGCCAGGCTGGTCTCGAACTCCCGACCTCAAGTGATTTGCCCGCCTCGGCCTCCCAAAGTGCTGCGATTACTGGCCTTAGCCACCGCGCTGGGCCTACACAGCAGGTTTTATTGAAGCATCCTGGCCGTGCACAGCAGCGGCAAACGCTTGGATCCTTCCAGAGCGGGGCTACCCCGTAGGCAATGCACCTGGAGCAGAAGCTTAGAGGCAGTTCTACAGGCATATTGATACCCACTGCTAATTACATGCAAATGAAGGGGCGGTGATGCAGAAATTTCTAGAAAAAGGGCGGTAACGTCCGGATCATTGGATTGTTGCCATGGCAACGGTAAACTGACATGGCACACTGGTGGGTGTGTCTGACACAGAGGTGCTTCTGCCCTGTACCTGTTTTAGTTAGTCCTACCTCACTCTTTTTTTTTTCTGAGATAGAGTCTGGCTCTGTCACCCAGGCTGGAGTGCAGTGGCACGATCACACCTCACTGCAGCCTCAACCTCCTGGGCTCAAGCGAGTCTCCCGTCTCAGCCTCCCGATGAACTGGGACTATAGGCGTGCGCCACCACGACCAGATAATTTTTGTATTTTTAGTAGAGATGGGGTTTTGCCATGTTGGCTGAAGGGGGCCAGCCCCTCCACCCCTGTGGGTATTTCTCATCAGGTGGACACAAGAGACTGAGAAAAGACATAAGACACAGAGACAAAGTATAGAGAAAGAATAGTGAGTCCAGGGGACCGGCACACTCAGCATGTGAGGTCCTGCACCAGCGCTGGTCTCTGAGTTCCGTCAGTATTTATTGATAACTATTTTCACTATCTTGGCAAGGGGAGTGTGGCAGGAGAATAGGGTGATGGTGGGGAGAATGTCAGCAGGAAGACATGTGAGGAAAGGAATCTGCATCATAAATAAGTTCAAGGGAAGGTACTGTGCCCGGATGTGCACGTAGGCTAGAGTTATGTTTCTCTTTACCCAAACATCTCAGTGTAGCGAAGAGTAACAGAGTAGGATTGCTGCCAGCATAGCTCGCCTCCAGCCACAGGGCAGTTTTCTCCTATCAGAATAGAAGGAATGGTCGGCTTTACATGGAGACATTCCATTCCCGGGGACATGCGGGAAATAGAGGCCTTCCTCTTATCTCAACTGCAAAGAGACCTCCCTCGTTTACCAATCCTCCTCAGCACAGACCCTTTATGGGTGTCGGGCTGGGGGATGGTCAGGTCTTTCCCTCTCCATGAGGCCATATCTCAGGCTGTCTCAGTGGGGGGAAACCTCGGACAATACCCAGGCTTTCTCGGGCAGAGGTCCCTGCGGCTTTCCGCAGTGCATGGTGTCCCTGGTTAATGGAGAATGGAGAATGGCGATGACTTTTACCAAGCAGGCTGCCTGCAAATCTATTGTTAACAAGACACAGCACATGTTTCTGTGAGCACACGGTTAAGGCTGAAGTTACAGGTTAACAGCATCTCAAAGCAGAACAATTTTTCTTAGTACAGATCAAAATGGAGTTTCTTATGTCTTCCTTTTTCTACACACACATAGTAACAGTCTGATCTCTCTTTTTTTTCCCCACAGCTGGCCAGGCTGGTCTCGGACTCCTGACCTCAGGTGATCCACCCACCTCGGCCTCCCAAAGTGCTGGGATTTACAGGTGCGAGCCACCACGCCCGGCCGCTCTTCCTCATTTCTATTGAATTGATTTCTGTAAATGTTCAAGAGCATTTCACAAATAAAGTATTTTGGAGTCTTGCTCTGTCGCCAGGCTGGAGTGCAGTGGCATGATCTCAGCTTACTGCAAGTTCCGCCTCTCGGGTTCAAGCGATTCTCCTGCCTCAGCCTCCCAAGTAGGTGGGACTACAGGTGTGCACCATGACGCCGAGCTAATTTTTTTTTTTTTTTTTTGTATTTTAGTAGAGACGGGGTTTCACCATGTTGGCCAGGATGGTCTCAATCTCCTGACCTCGTGATCCACCCACCTCAGCCACCCAAAGTGCTGGGATTGCAGGCGTGAGCCACCCGTGCCCTGCCCCTATTGGCTTATTTATTTAATTTTGTGCTGACACAGGAAGGCTGCTGGAGATTAAATATTCACTCTCCACTGTGGCTTTGAGGAATATAAAATTTCCGTTTTCACCCCATTTGCTATTTTCTGCCTTAAATTCACACTTGAATTTGCCTAAGGTCTTTACATATAGAGTGTCCAGTAGGTCATGTACAGTGAAGGTTTGGTCTTTCACTCAACTGAAGTGTATTCTTATTGTTGTGATTGTTCTTTGAATGGCATACTTTGACACATTTGCAATAACTATGTTAAAAGCATGTTTGGGGCAGGGCGTGGTGGCTCATGCCTGTAATCCCAGCACTTTGGGAGGCCGAGGCGGGCAGATCACGAGGTCAGGAGTTCGAGACCAGCCTGACCAACATGGTGAAACCCCATCTCTACTAAAAATACAAAAATTAATCAGGCGTGGTGGCGGGCACCTATAATCCCAGCTACTCTGGAGGCTGAGTCAGGAGAATTGCTTAAACCCTGGAGGCGGAGGTTGCAGTGAGCTGAGATCGCGCCACTGCACTCCAGCCTGGGCAACAGAGCGAGACTCCACCTCAAAAAAAAAAAAAGTGAACAAATAAACTTGTGTCCTGGTTTCACGGTTACTAGTAGCCTCCAAGGGAGACTCACATTAAACAGTCATGAAACTCAATAAATCAGTTTTGAAAGAATTGATCTTCCTACACTTTTGAATTTTCCAATCTGTCCTATTCATTCGATCTTCATAACTCGGCATTTCCAGTGAGAGCCACTCCAACTTCTGAGCACCCTTCATCTTGGACTCCCAAAAAGTGCTGACATTACAGGCATAAACCACTGTGCCCGGCCTGAAAATGCTATTTTAGTCAGTAGTATAAATTAAATTAAATTAAAATTAAAATCAGGTCCTGTGATTTCTTTTCTTTTTTTTTTCTTTTTTTTTTTTTCAGACGGAGTCTCACTCTGTTGCCCAGGCTGAAGTGCAGTGGCGTGATCTCGGCTCACTGCAAGCTCCACCTCCCGGGTTCACACCATTCTCCTGCCTCAGCCTCCCGAGTAGCTGGGACTACAGGCGCCCGCCACCATACCTCGCTAATTTTTTTGTATTTTTAGTAGAGAAAGGGTTTCACCGTGTTAGCAAGGATGGTCTCGATCTCCTGACCTCGTGAACTGCCTGCCTCGGCCTCCCAGAGTGCTGGGATTACAGGCGTGAGCCACCGTGCCCAGCCTCTTTTTTTTTTTGAGACAGAGCCTTGCTCTGTTGCCCAGGCTGGAGTGCAGTGGTGTGATCTCAGCTCACTGCAACCTCTGCTTTCCGGGTTCAAGCAATTCTCCTGCCTCAGCCTCCCAAGTAGCTGGCATTACAGGTGCCTGCCACCATGCCCAGCTAATTTTTGTATTTTTACTAGAGACAGGGTTTCTCCATGTTGGCCAGGCTGGTCTCAAACTCCTGACCTCGTGATTCACCTGCCTCGACCTCCCAAAGTGCTGGGATTACAGGCATGAACCACCACGCCTGGTCCCTGTGTTTTCTTTATCTGCTGTCTCATCCTGTTTCCCCACAACACAGACATACACACAAAACCTTTGTCACATTCTTGTAAACAGTTTTTTCTTTAACCTTTTTTTTTAAAGACAGGGTTTTGCTCTGTTGTCCAGCCTGTAATGCAGTGACGTGATAATGGCTCACTGCAGCCTCAAACACCTGGGGTCAAGTGATCCTCCCACCTCAGACCCCCAAGTAGCTGGGACTACAGGCATGTGCCAGCAAGCCTGGCTAATTTTTTCTATTTTTTTTCTTTTTTAAATAGAGATGGGGTCTTGCTTTGTTGCCCAGGCTGATCTTGAACTCCTGGCCTCAAGTAATCCTCCTGCATTGGGCACCCAAAGTGCTGGGATTACAGGTTTGAGCCATTGCGCCTGGCCGACACTGTTTTTGAAAGCATCACACGATGTCTTTTGAAAATGTTTTGGAATCATTTCCTGAGATACTTTTCCCTCCATCTCATTTTCTTTGGACTGGATGAAATCCTCACCCTCTCTGCAAGATAAATTTGAATTTTTGGCATGAGAAAACCCAGAGGTCTTTCTTTGCGGGGGGAGTAAATTCTGAAGACTGTTTTGCTCATTGCAATATCAGGAATCAGCTTGCAGACTGCTCCTCACGCCTCTATGCGTGCTCTCCTGGCTCTCCGCAAAGTCGGCAGCAGAGTGGTATTTGGGCATGGGTCAGCCGACTTATGTAAATATATTACCACTGAGCATTTCATCCATCTGCTAGGATCAGCCCTACCCTTTCTCAGCACTCTGCGGATTTAGTCTAAAGAGCTTGCAGAACTGCTTGGTATCATCAAGAAGAGCTTGCTCTCCGACAGGAGCCATCTTTATGCTCCAAACCTGACTGCCTGTAATAACTGGCAGCTTATTGTGTCGAAAAAACCATCCTGAGGCAGGGACTGTGTTCTGAAGATGAGTGGTCTTTGCAGAGCAGGATTTGGTCAGCCACATGCAAGGATGATGGCGTAGGAAGACGGGAAAGGCTGAAACTCAGTAATACCTAGCTAGAGTTTGGAGTGACCACACTGTCAGCCGGCGAGCTGTCTAATGATGATTCACCATCTCCCTTTCCCGGAGCTTTGCAGGACGATGGCTTGAGAGCTTTCATAACTCATTTAGCCGTGATGATTAATTTGGAACGAGGGATAAAGGTTGTCTCAGGCCAAAGATTGCCTGCCTTCCTTCACTGACTCAACCCTGATCCGAGATGGAAAATGTGCATTTTAGGACAACACTAAATTTTTAATGCTTTTTAATAGCTCTTTGCGAGATTACTCAGGGTGAGCTGGAGCTTTGCAAACAAACGCTTATCCCCGTACACTATGTTTACCTGGCGCAATCGGATGCCTTTCATTCAGGACTGTCCTTGAAGGTCACTGCCTCTATCCTTTCCAGCAGGGATGAAAAGCAAATCAGATTACAGAAATGGCTGAGCTGCCTTTGGAGGTAGTTGTAATAGAGGGTTTAGGGTGTGTACCGATGTAAGAGCTTGGGGGTTATTTGCAAGCTACATGGAGCTTGAATGTTGTATCAGGATTAGGCTTGGCTGACACGGAAACCCTAAAACAACAGTGCTTTAAAGCAACAGAAGTTTGTTCCTCTCTTACGTAAAGGTGACCCTGAGGTACACGGTCCAGGGCTGGCATTGTGCCTTTGTGTCACACAGTCCTCAAAAATAAGGCTCATCTTCTTTCCTTGCTTTCCCTCCCCTAGGTCATATTCTCTTTGTCCTCATGATCCAAGACGGTAGCTCTCACACTCCAGGAAGCACGTGCAGGAAGGAGAGAAGAGAAAGAGGGAAAAAGGCAAATCACGTATGATTTTGAAAGCAAGTTTCTGGTATGTGGCAGCAGCAGTGGGTACAGAAAGAAAGAAAAAGGTTTAGCATTTCTAAGGAGTGGGTAGGAGTGGTGTCATTAATTTTAAGCTCTGTGGCCTTGGGAAAGGCTCAACTTCTGTGAACCCAAGTTTTGTCTTCCGTAACATGACGACGATGATGGTGATGGTGATGGTGATGACGATGATGGTGATGATGATGGTAATGATGATGGTGATGATGGTGATGGTGATAATAGTGATAGTGAGGATGATGATGCTGCTGATGTAATGATGGTGATGATGATGATGGTGATGATATGATGGTGATGATGATGATAATGCTGACAGTGATGATGTGATGTGATGATGATAGTGATGGTGATAATGGTGATAATGATGATGGTGATGATGTGATGGTGATGATGATAACGGTGATGATGTGATGGTCATGATAATGATGGTGATGATGGTGATGGCAATGATCATGATGATGATAATAGTGGCGATGATGATGGTGATGATGATGGTGATAGTGATGATGGTGATGGTGATGACAGTGATGGTGTTGATGGTGATAATGATGGTGATGATGTGATGGTCATGATAATGATGTTGATGATGGTGATAGCAATGATCATGATGATGATAATAGTGGCAATGATGATGGTGATGATAATGGTGATGGTAGTGATGATGGTGATGATGATGATGCTGATGGAGATAATGGTGATGGTGGTGATAATGATGATGATGGTGATGGTGATGACAATGGTGATGGAAATGATGGTGATAGTGATAATGGTGATGGTGGTAATGATGATGATGAGGGTGGTAATAATGTCACCTGCCCCACAGAACTGTTAGAAGAGACAAATGAGCTAAATTATACAGTTTCTTGAAAATCATAATGTGTTATACAAACAATAATTGTTGTTCTAGTGAGCCACTTCTGGTGAAAATCTCTTTTCTCTTGAAGGTTCACATTGCAAAATAACTACTTCAATTAATTAGATAGGGATTATTTATTATTTATGCATTTGTTTCTTTGTGTGTATGTACCTGTACAAGTGGATGCATTTGTCTATCAAGACAGATATATGAATAGATACCCATTGGATTTTACAATGGAGATTTAAAAACACTCTTTAGTAAAGACTAACAATTTTTGTTTTTCCAAACTTTCTCCTCACACTAGATAGGCTTGGTTGCAATTTTATGCCATATCCTTATTATTTATTCCATATGCCCATTGCACCTTGGATGTGAAGTAGTCATTTCCGTCTCCCTGGTACTTGGCTCTGTGTCTGACACCTACGAGGTGCTCTGCAAAAGTGTCGAGTTGAATTAAATTCTGCAATAATGTTAATGAGCCAGATCGAGGTGATGGGTGTGGGAGAGCCGGATATGGCAAGGTGAAAGAGAGAGGGCGGAAAAATAGAACAAACAACAGAGAAATAAATGAGGTAGAAAAAGGTCACAGCAATAACCTGAGAGAGAGAGAGAGAGAAAAAAGAAGAAGCACAGACAACCACATTGGGTCTTTCCTACCCATCCATCTAATTTATCAGCAGGTCCCCAATCTGCCCATGTCTCACCACTGCACCTCTGTCCTCACCCTGGCCCAAGTTGCAATAATTTCTCCCTGAACAACCAATATAGTTTTTATCTATTCCTCCCATCACCTCCTTCCCCACTATAATCTAGGTAAAGTATCTCAACTGGGCTTCTCCCAGAAACAGACCCTGGGTTAAGGATTGAGTAACGGAAAGGGTAGGGACACTGACCAGGGTAAGGGCTCTGGCCAGGGCAGGGGGTCAGGGGAAGGTTATACAGGGAAGGGCATACACCAATGAGGGGTGAATTATTAAGCCAGCTCTACAGAGGGCACCTAGGACATAATCTTATTGTGATGCTCTGGGAAACAGCATAAAACACCCACCTGGGAATTATCCTAGCAGAGGGGTGAGGGAGCTGGGGTGTTGATACTCTATATCCATCAGTAACTGGTGGAGAATGTGACTCTCCTGCACTTTCAGTTTGGCACTTGATATGGTTTGGATTGTGTCCCCACCCAAATGTCATGTCAAATTGTGATTCTCCAGTGATGGAGGAGAGGTCTGGTGGGAGGTGATTAGATCATGGGGAAAGATTTCTTCCTTGCTCTTCTCATGATAGTGAGTGAGTTCTGATGAGATCTTGTTGTTTAAAAGTGTGTAGCACTTCCCCCTTTGCTCTCTTCCTCCTGCTCGTGCCATGTAAGACGTGCATGCCTCCCTCCTCTTTGCCTTCTGCCATAATTGTATGTTTCCTGAGGCCTCCCCAGTCATGCTTACTGTATGTGAAGGGATGTGAAGTTGTCATTTAGGACCATGGGCCCAGGCTTGAGGGTGGAGCACTTGCCAAGGACCCCACGCTTTTCTACCCAGTATTTCCCTTCCTCCTGTCCATATCACCACGAGCTACATGGAGTTCCCAAGGAGGCAATTCTCCTTAGTGCTTCCCATTCACTTGGTAGTCAGAGCTGTAGTCATACAGGCTCAAGCCACTCCCCAAGTTAGTTAATATTGCAAACCATACGTAATAGTATACTTAATCAATATATCAATGGTACAGGTTAAACATTCCACAACAAACAAAGCAACATTTACCATCAAGAGAAAGGGAATAGAAAAGAGGGTTAATAAGGCTGGGCGCGGTGGCTCACGCCTGTAATCCCAGCACTGTGGGAGGCCAAGAGGGGCAGATCATGAGATCAGGAGATAGAGACCTGTCTGGCTAACAGAGTGAAACCCCATCTCTACTAAAAATACAAAAAAATTAGCCAGGCGTGGTGGCAGACGCCTGTAGTCCCAGCTACTCGGGAGGCTGAGGCAGGAGAATGGCATGAACCCAGGAGGTGGAGGTTGCCATGAGCCGAGATCGCGCCACTGCACTCCAGCCTGGGCAACACAGCAAGACTCTATCTCAAAAGAAAAGAAAAGAAAAAAGGGTGTATAAACCAGTCCAACGAGAGGGACATTGACAAGAACAATATCCTGTCATGGTCTGACATGGTCCTGATGTGGGTGGCCTGTTAACATATGGCAAGAAAGGGTCTTTGATGTGGGCAGAACCTTTGGCATACTCTGCACAGATAGGTAGAGTATTTTATTGAGTAATGAAAGTGGCTTTCAGCAGGATGGGGAGCTGAAAAGGGGATGAAATGGGAAGATAGTCTTCTCTTGTAGTTTTATTTGACTTTGTGCCAAGATAAAAGGACAAGGGAGAAAAGCCAGAAAGCAGCACACAGCAGCTTTTGTCTCAGCTTCTGACAACCTCCCAGCAATGCAGCACTCAGCCAGGATGCAGAGAGCAATGTATAAAGAATTAGACAGCCTAACATATATACCATGGAATACTATGCAGCCATAAAAAAGGATGAGTTAATGTTCTTTGCAGGGACATGGATGATGCTGGAAACCATCATTCTCAGCAAACTAACACAAGAACAGAAAACCAAACACCACATGTTCTCACTCATGAGTGGGAGCTGAACAATGAGAACACATGGACACAGGGAGGGAACATCACACACTGGGGGCCTGTCAGGGGGTGAGGGGCTAGGGGAGGGAGAGCATTAGGAGAAATACATAAGGTAGATGATGGGTTGATGGATGCAGCAAACCACCATGGCACACACATACCTATGTAACAAACCTGCACGTTCTGCACTGTATACCAGAACTTAAAGTATAATAATTTTTTAAAAAGTTAAAAAAAAAGAATTAGACAACTTATTGAAACACTTCTGCCCTGTCCCCTGCCATGCCTTGCCAAATTTATAGCTTCCCATTGTGAAGTTTTATCAGCATGAATTTGTAAAGTAATTGAGCAGGGTGCCCCAAAAAGACTTTTGAGAACCTCAAAGTTGTAGTTATTAAAAATTACTCAGTCATGTCTGGAAGGAGCCGCCTTCATGCTTATGAATATTTTGGGTGGCATCAGGATTTCTTTAGAAAGGGACTCTTAAATCCTTCTGTATGACTTTTCTGGGACTTTCCTAAAAATCGTGTTCACAAAATGAGTAGTTTCAAACAATAGAGATTCATCCTCTCCCAGTTCTGGAGACCAGGAGTCTGAGATCAAGGTGTCTCAGGACCACACACCCTCCGGAGGCTCTAAGGAAACCTGCCTCTTCCCACTCCTGGGGGCTCCAGGCATCCCAGGGCTTGTGGCCGCATCACTCCAGTCTCTGCCTCCACCTCCATGTGGCCTCCTCCTCTGTGTCTGTGTCTCCTCTTCTGTCTTAGAAAGACACCTGTCATTGCATTTAGGGCCCACCCTACTCCAGGACGATCTCATCTCCAGATCCTTAACTAACTGCATCTGCAAAGACCTTATTTCCAAATACGGTTCCATTCACAGGTTCTGGAGAACAGGACATCAACATATTTTGGGGGTCGCCATTCAGTTCCCTCTGGAGGCTCTAGGGGAGGATACTTCTGCATTCAGGACCCATTCTAACCCAAGATGATCTCATCTCAACTAATTCCATCAGCTATGACCCTATTTCCAAATAAGATCTCATTCTGAGGTTCTGGGTGGATGTCAATTTGGGAGAAATACTCTTCAACCCGCTATACCTTCCAATGCTGACTAACGTCTGTATTTAAATAAACTCTGCAATTATCTCAGAAGACTTCCAGAAAGAAACACATGGTGAGTAACATCTATATTTACATAAACTCTGCAGTTATCTCAGAAGACTTCCAGAAACACAGGGGGAGCATGACACCAAACCCAGAAGGCTTAAATGAAAACAGGGATTAGGCCGGTCGCCGTGGCTCACGCCTGTCATCCCACCACTTTGGGAGGCCGAGGCAGGTGGATCACCTGAGGTCAGGAGTTCGACACCAGCCTGAACAACATGGCGAAACCCCGTCTCTACTGAAAATACAAAAATTAGCCAGCTTTGGTGGCATCCGCCTGTAGTCCCAGCTATTCGGGAGGCTGAGGCAGGAGAATTGGTTGAACCCAGGAGGCGGAGGTTGCAGAGAGCCAAGATCTTGTTACTGCACTCCAGCCTGGGCAACCCAGCAAGACTCCGTCTTAGAAAAAAAACAAAAACAAAAAACAAAGTCACTGAGTGGATTAGGTGAGTTCATATACGGAATGCATGTGTACAGCAGCTCCAGATGCTCGCCAAGGACTATATACGGGACTGTTGGGACTGCTACCACCACTAATACAGCCATTGCTATAGTTACTATTACTTCAACAATTAGTACTACCACCACTGCCAGGACTATTGCTACTACCAGTTCTACTGTGCTACTTCTGCAATTAATGCTCTTACTACAGCTCGTCAACTACCTCATTACTAAAGCCACTGCTAGAACTATTGCTTCCTTTTCTCACGGGGGACTGACTTTCATTTGCAATTCCCTGAGGCTTCACGCTCAGCAAAGGGTCCCCGCACCGACTCACCTGCTCCGCTTGCATCCCTGGCTCAGGAGCAAATGGCCTCCCAGTGGTCCCAAGTGCAGCCCCCTCCCTCCTGGGCCTCAGCCTTATGTAGACTCAGGCGAGGGCATTTGAAGAAGGGACCTCAGTTGATTCTCTGTTGCAGGACGCCCAAGACGAAGAGAGCACAGACATAGCACGACAGCCGGAAATAGCCTTTCATAGCCCCTAAATGTGCAGGACTGGACACAAGTTAGGAATCTGCTTTTCCACTAAGTAGCTTGTGGAATGCACCTGTGTGTGTGTGTGTGTGTGTGTCTTCCTGTCTCTTTCTCTCTCTGCCTCTCTCTTCCTCCCTCTTTCTCCCACTCTCTCTTTCTCCCACTCTCTCTGATTTCCTCTATCCCTCTTCTCTCTCTCCTCCTAGTCTTCCTCTCTCTCAGTCCTCTGCCTCTCTCTCTTCCTGGCTTTCTGTCTCTCCTCCTCCCTCTCTCTCTTTCTTCCTCCCTCTCTGCCTTTCTTCCTCTCTCTCTCTCCCTTCCTCTCTCTCTTCCTCCCTCCCTCTCTGTCTCTCTCTCACTCTCTTCTCTCTCCCTCTTCCTGTTTCTCTTCCTCCCTCTCTCTTCCTCCGTCTCTTCCTCTCTCTCTCCTTCCTTTTCTTCCTCTGTCTCTTCGTCTCTTTCCTTCTCTTTCTTCCTCTCTTCCTCTCTCTGTCTCTCTCTCCCCCTTCCTCACTTTCTCCCTCCCTCTCTGTCTCTCTCATTCTCTTCTTCTCTCTTTTGCCCTTCTTTTCTCTCTTCCTCTGTCTCTTCCTCCCTCTCTCTTCCTCTCTCCCTCTCCTTCCCTCTCTTTCTTCCTCTCTTCCTCTGTCTGTCTCTCCCTCTTCCTCTCTTCCTTCCTCCCTGTCTCTCTTTCTCTTCTTCTCTCTCCCCCTCTTCCTGCCTCTCTTCCTCTCTTCCTCCCTCTTCCTGCCTCTCTTCCTCTCTCTTCCTCCCTCTTCCTCCCTCTCTTCCTCTCTCTTCCTCCTTCTCTGTCTTTCTTCCTCTCTTCCTCTGTCTGTCTCTCCCTCTTCCTCTCTCTCTTCCTTCCTCCCTCTCTGTCTCTCTCTCATTCTCTTCTTCTCTCTCCCCCTCTTCCTGCCTCTCTTCCTCTCTCTTCCTCCCTCTCTTCCTTCTTCCCTCTCTGTCTCTCTCTCATTCTCTTCTTCTCTCTCCCCCCTTCCTGCCTCTCTTCCTCTCTCTTCCTCCCTCTCTTCCTTCTTCCCTCTCTGTCTCTCTCTCATTCTCTTCTTCTCTCTCCCCCTCTTCCTGCCTCTCTTCCTCTCTCTTCCTCCCTCTCTTCCTTCTTCCCTCTCTGTCTCTCTCTCATTCTCTTCTTCTCTCTCCCCCCTTCCTGCCTCTCTTCCTCTCTCTTCCTCCCTCTCTTCCTTCTTCCCTCTCTGTCTCTCTCTCATTCTCTTCTTCTCTCTCCCCCTCTTCCTGCCTCTCTTCCTCTCTCTTCCTCCCTCTCTTCCTTCTTCCCTCTCTGTCTCTCTCTCATTCTCTTCTTCTCTCTCCCCCTCTTCCTGCCTCTCTTCCTCTCTCTTCCTCCCTCTCTTCCTTCTTCCCTCTCTGTCTCTCTCTCATTCTCTTCTTCTCTCTCCCCCCTTCCTGCCTCTCTTCCTCTCTCTTCCTCCTTCTCTGTCTTTCTTCCTCTCTCTGTCTCTGTCTCCCCCTTATTCTCTTTCTTTCTCCTTCTCTGTCTCTCTCTCATTCTCTTCTCTCTCTTCCCCTTCCTGTCTCTCTTCCTCCCTCTCTCTCCTTCCCTCTCTGCCTTTCTTCCTCTCTCTCTCTCCCTCTTCCTCTCTTTCTCCGTCCCTCTCTCTCTCATTCTCTTCTTCCCTCTCTTCCCCTTACTGTCTTCTTGTCTGTCTTCCTCCCTCTCTTCCTTTATCTTTCTTTCTCCCTTCCTCTCTTCCTTTCTTCCTCTCTTCCTCTGTCTCTCTCTCCTCCCTCCTCTCTCTTCCTCTCTCTCCTTCTCTCTCTCTCTCTCACACACACACAGACACACACACACACACACACACTCCCCAGGACTGTATTCACCCATGCTTTTTAAAACAGAATCAATTCCAGACATATTCTGATAGAATGTCAAACAAGAAAGAAATAAAGAAGTGTTTATGCTGAGATTTAAAAACAACACCAGCAGCAACGACAGAACCTATACCGTTTTGACTTCATTCCAACCACAAGAAATGACACAGCAATACTGAGTAGCCAACTACTGATAGGAACTAACCGGAACAAAATATAAGTGATAAACATTTCAGCAGATACATAAAATAATTCTCCAAATATCTCTTCTTAGGTAGGTCTCCTTCCCAACTGGACGTTACTCTTGGTAGCATATATCCACTGGGGAAATTTTAGAAAATATTTTAATTATTTATAAAGTCTCCCAGTTTAAACTGCAATGTGGCAAAAGACGTTCTTCCTAATTAGAGGGCCGTAGTCTACGTAGGAAAAATATCAAACAAATTAAACTCATAGAGGTTTCATCTCTCAGAGAGGAATATGCACGTGATTTGGACGTATTTAGAAAATCCTATTAAAGATATTTTGTTCCTGTTGTGTGGCTTGATAGAGCCGACGAGAGGGCTGAGCTAGCTATGCTCTGAGTTTTGCAAGACTTTTAACAATCATAACCTGTTTGACTTTCCGTGTTTCAGGCATGTTGAAGTGCCTGTTGACAATCAGCCCTCTTTACACTTTCCTAACCACTCTGAAGGCAGAAATCAACCATGACAAAAACGGTTTGATTTAGAGGATTAGACCATTCCACTCAAAATTCATTCACTTACTTAGAAAGTAGTTTCCTGGCCGGGCACAGTGGATCACGCCTGTCATCCCAGCACTTTGGGAGGCTGAGGCGGGCGGATCACCTTAGTTCGGGAGTTTGAGACCAGCCTGGCCAACATGGTGAAACCCCGTCTCTACTAAAAATACAAAAATTAGCCAGGCGTGGTGGCGGGCGCCTGTAGTCCCAGCTACTCAGGAGGCTGAGGCATGAGAATCGCTTGAACCCGGCGGGCGGAGGTTGCAGGGAGCCGAGATCCTACCATTGCACTCCAGCCTGGGCGACAAGAGCAAAACTCCATCTTAAAAAATAAAAAATAAAAATAAATTAAAAAAGAAAATAGTCTCCTGTGTATCCCTTGGGTTTGCAGCATGTGACAATTACCAAGTGAAATATAGTTAATGGAATCAACTATATTTAAAAGTATTTTAACAGTATTTTGAAAAAAAAAAAATATATATATATATATATAATTCTACCATGATCTCAGGGAGAATTCTTGAGAAGGATTTTTTTTTTTCCATCAGTATTGACTACTCAATATTACTATGTCATTTCTTGTGGCCGAAATGAAGTGAAAACGTATAAACGGTATAGGTTCTACCTTTTTTTAAAAAAAAAATCTCAGCATGTTCTTTATTTTTTCTTGTTTGACATTCCCCCAGAATATGTCTAGAATTGATTCTCTTTTACATTTTCACTGAGAACCCAGAAGGCAGCCATTTTTCGGAAAATGTGTTTGACTCACAGCTGTTATCTCCTGCCATTTCTGTGATTATCGCTTCCATCCCATTCTCCTCTATAGGAATTCCAGCTTCTCCCAAGTTAGCTTCAATAGATAAATGAAATAACTACATAAAAATAACTCTCATATATAAAATCCTATAAACTAAATGGCTAATAAAAATACTTGTGAATATATAAAAAGATATCAACAAAATAAATAAAAACAAGTGTAAATATGCAAATATGCATAAACAAAATGAATAAATACAATGAATAACAAATATATTTAAATATATAAATAATTATAAATATACAAATAAATTAAAATAATTATGAATATATAAAAATATAAACTAAATAATAAGAAATAATTATCAATATATAATACACAGAAACAAAATAAATAAAAATAATTACAAATATATTAAAATATAGAAACTAAATAAAAATAGATATAAAAATATATATGAAAATAAAGATGTGAAAAATATAGAAACTAACTAAATAAAAATAATTATAAGTATATAACAATTTATATAAACAAAATGAATAATTATAAATATATAACAATTTATATAAACAAAATAAATTAAAATATTTATAAATCTATAAAAGTATGGCTGGGCGCGGTGACTCACGCCTGTAATCCTAGCACTTTGGGAGGCCGAGGTGGGCGGATCACGAGGTCAGGAGATCGAGACCATGGTGAAACCCCGTCTCTACTAATAATACAAAAAATTAGTAGGGTGTAGTGGCAGGTGCCTGTAGTCCCAGCTACTCGGGAGGCTGAGGCAGGAGAATGGCGTGAACCCGGGAGGCCGAGCTAGCAGTGAGCCGAGATCGCACCACTGCACTCCAGCCTGGGCGACAGAGTGACACTCCGTCTCAAAAAATAAATAAATAAATAACATAAAATAAAATAAAAATATACATCAACTAAATAAAAATAATTAAAACTATATATAAATTTTTATAAGCTCAATAAATAAAAATATGTATAAATCTATAAATATATATGAACAAAATAAATAAGTAAAAATGATAAATACATAAAAATACATATGAGCTAACTAATATAAATCTATAAAACTATATAAACTAAATAAAAATAATTATAAATATATAAAAATACATATAAGTTGTCATATAAATCTATAAAAATATATAAACAAAATAAATGAAGAAATAAAAACATCATAAATATATGAAATATATGTAAACTAAATAAAAATATTTACAAAGGTATAAAGATGTATAAACATAGTGAATAATAACTGAATAGCAAATAAAAATTGTTTTACTATAAAAAGCCCTCAGAAGGAATGAACCCTGCCAGCACCTTGATCTGGCACCCCTGGCTCCCAGCATTGTCAGAGGAGGAGGATTATAAAACAACCTTCTGGCCCCCAGCGTTGTGAGAAAATGCATTGCTATGGTTCACGTCACCCTGTTGATGTTACTGCGTTGTGGTAGCCCCGGTGAACTCATCCCACAAGTCATGAGTTCCCAGGTCACCTGCTTCCTCTTGTGGGGGTCGAGACGCTGTATCTCCCTGGGCAGAAGCCTTTTATGCTGAAAGGGAGGCCTTTGCATTGGCTGAGCTTGAGCGTGAGAGCTGGAGCTGCTGGGATCTTGAACACTCCTGGGATCTTGAACCTCCGTGGATGGAGGGAGTGTAGCTGAAAGGATCCAGCCGTCTTCCATCGTTAGCAAGTTAAGTCACCGAGGATCTTCCCCAGTTGCCTGCCCCAGTTGAGTTTGTCAGAATCTATTCACAGCATCACACGGGCGTGTAAACCACTGGAAGTCCCTTGCCGCCTGTTATTGCTCTTGTTCTAAGGAGGGGCAGGTGAGGAGGAGGGACCATCCGCAGGTGAGAAATGGGCAGAATATTTGTGGCAGGCATGGTGATTTTTGTCGCCAGCAGACTCTGCCTGGTGGCGGTGCGGGGGACTTGTGAAACATTTGCAATTGTCTTCCAACTGTTTAGAGATTTCTCGAGGAAATTAAAACAGAGGCTGGGCACGGTGGATCACGCCTGTAATCCCAGCACTTTGGGAGGCGGAGGCGGGAGGATCACCTGAGGTTGGGAGTTCGAGACCAGCCTGGCCAAAATGCTGAAACACCATCTCTACCAAAAATTCAAAAATTAGCTGGGTGTGGTGGCAGGTGCCTGTAAGCCCAGCTACCCGGGAGGCTGAAGCAGGAGAATCACTTGAACCTGGGAGGCAGAGGTTGCAGTGAGCCGAGATCGCGCCACTGCACTCCAGCCTGGGGGACAAGAGCAAAACTCTTGTCTCCAAACAAAAACAAAAAAGAAAAAAACAGAACTACTATGTCACCCAGCAATCCCATTCCTGGAGATATTGTCCTATCACAAAGACACATGCACCTATATGTTCATCACAGCACCAGTCACAACAGCAAAGAGGTGGCATCGACACAGGTACCCATCCATGGTGGACTGGATAAAGAAAAGGGGCTATATCTGCACCATAGGGTACTTTGCAGCCATAAGAAAGAATAAAAACATGGCCGGGCATGGTGGCTCACACCTGTAATCCCAGCACTTCGGGAGGCCGATGCGGACGGACCACGAGGTCAGGAGTTCTAGACCAGCCTGGCCAATATGGTGAAACCCCATCTCTACTAAAAATACAAAAATTAGCCAGGTGTGGTGGCACGTGCCTGTAATCTCAGCTACTCGGGAGGCTGAGGCAGGAGAATCACTTGAACCTGAGAGGTGGAGGTTGCAGTAAGCTGAGATCGCACCACTGCACTCCAGCCTGGGTGACAGAGCGAGACTCCATCTCAAAAACAAAACAAACAAACAAAAAAACACATGTCTTTTGTAGCAACACGGATGAAGTCAGAGGCCACAGTCCTAAGTGAACTAAGGGTGGAACAGAAAGCCAAATACTGCATGTTCTCATGTATGAGTGGGATGGAAACCGTGGGCCATCAACATCAAGATGAGGGCATTGCACTGGAGAGTACGAGAGGGAGGAGTAAAGGGGTGAAAAACTCACTAGCACATGCTGTGCTCGGTAGAATAGATGAGAATTAGTCTGTTCTACGAAATAGACGAGAATTAGTCTAGTCTACGAAATAGACTAGAAATAGCCTAGTCTGTTCTACGAAATAGACTAGAAATAGTCTAGTCTACGAAATAGACTAGAAATAGCCTAGTCTGTTCTACGAAATAGACTAGAAATAGTCTGTTCTACGAAATAGACTAGAAATAGCCTAGTCTGTTCTACGAAATAGACTAGAAATAGCCTAGTCTGTTCTACGAAATAGACTAGAAATAGTCTGTTCTCCGAAATAGACTAGAAATAGCCTAGTCTGTTCTACGAAATAGACTAGAAATAGCCTAGTCTGTTCTACGAAATAGACTAGAAATAGCCTAGTCTGTTCTACGAAATAGAGTAGAAATAGCCTAGTCTGTTCTACGAAATAGACTAGAAATAGCCTAGTCTGTTCTACGAAATAGACTAGAAATAGTCTGTTCTACGAAATAGAAGAGAAATAGTCTAGTCTCTTCTACGAAATAGACTAGAAATAGTCTGTTCTACGAAATAGACTAGAAATAGTCTGTTCTACGAAATAGACTAGAAATAGTCTGTTCTACGAAATAGACTAGAAATAGTCTGTTCTACGAAATAGACTAGAAATAGTCTGTTCTACGAAATAGACTAGAAATAGTCTGTTCTATGAAATAGAAGAGAAATAGTCTGTGATATCACCAGAATTTCTTTGTCTCACAGCCACGGAAATCAAGGACTTGGATGCACTAAGAGTGAGGTTACAGGCCGGGCGCGGTGGCTCACACCTGTAATCTTAGCACTTTGGGAGGCTGAGGTGGGCAGATTGTCTGAGCTGAGGAGTTCGAGACCAGTCATGGCAAAACTCCATCTTTACTAAAATACAAAAAACAAAAAAAAATTCGCCAGGCGTGGTGGCATGAGCCTGTAAATCCCAGCTACTCAAGGCGCTGAGGCAGGAGGATCAGTTGAGCCTGGGAGGCAGAGGCGCGGTGGCTCATGCCTATAATCCCAGCACTTTGGGAGGCCGAGGCGGGCGGATCCCCTGAAGTTGGGAGTTCGAGACCATCCTGGCCAATATGGAAAAACCCCGTCTCTGCTAAAAACACAAAACTAGCCAGGCGTGGTGGTGGGTGCCTGTAATCCCAGCTACTCCGCAGGCTGAGGCAGGAGAATCGCTTGAACCCAGGAGGCGGAGGTTGCGATGAGCCGAAATCGCGACCCTGCACTCCAGCCTGGACAACAAGAGCGAGACTCCATCTCAAAAAAATTAAATAAATAAATAAATGAAACAAAAAACCACCTGCGTTTCTAAGGGAGCAGAGTGCAGGCAAAAGAAAAAGAAGGGGGGGGGCCGTACCGCAGTAAAATGTAAGGGTTTTTATAAATGAGCTAGTGGGCAGGAGGTATCTTAGCTACATAGGGCACAAAAAACCGGTTAGGACCAGGTGTGCCATCTGCATAGGGCTGAGTCTGTGCATACGGCTGAGTCTCCCCACCCCACTCTTTCATCACACAGGCATCTTCGTAGCTTGAGCTACTCCACGTTGACTATCTCCTTCCACCGTGTGCTAAAAAGGGGAGGGGGAGTTTCCGTGCCTGGCCCCTGGTACCTCCTTGCAGCTGCCAGGCATCCCCCTGCCAACCCATGCCAACCTCCCTATCTTCATGTACCCGAAAAAGGGAAAGGAATAGGCTTACCATTATTTTTATTTATGAATAATAAAGCACTGTGCATTTCAGAATTGCTCAGAGTAGGTTTTCCTACTTTCCCTATCTCGGTGAGCTCTGTCTTAGATTTTTCCTACCTGAGTGTGTCCAAAAAATGGAAAGAAATGTGCTCAGTCAGGCCCCCTGTCTTTACTGGGACCTGTAGTACATAGGTGAAGTTTGGTGATGACCTAGGAAATGAGAGCCTAACTATCCACCTAAATAATTTTTTTCTTTTTCTTTTCTTTTCTTATTATTTTTTGAGATGGAGACTCGCTCTGTCGCCCAGGCTGGAGTGCAACGGTGCGATCTTGGCTCACTGCAACCTCCGCTTCTTGGGTTCAAGCGATTCTCCTGCCTCAGCCTTCCAAGTAGCTGGGATTGCAGGTGCGTGCCACCATGCCAGGCTAATTTTTCTACTTTTAGTACAGACGGGGTTTCACCATGTTGGTCAGGCTGGTCTCGAACAGGTCTGTGCTGGACCTGCTTTTCTGTAACTTACGGCTCCATCTTCCAGGCTGCTCTTTGTTAGAAGAGAAGTGATTTCTTTGAGTGGCGTGTGGTTAGAAAGGAAGCAATTTCTCAAGCTGCCTTTTTTTTTTTTAGATGGAGTCTCGCTCTGTCGCCCAGGCTAGATTGCAGTGGCACAGTCTCGGCTCACTGCAACCTCCGCCTCCCGGGTTCAACCGATTTTCCTGTCTCAGCCTCCTGAGTAGATGGGATTACAGGTACCCGCCATCACACACAGCTAATTTTTTTTTTTTTTTTTTTTTGCATTTTATTAGAGATGGAGTTTGGCCTTCCAAAGTGCTAGGATTACAGACATGAGCCACCGTGGCCACGAGCTGCTTTTTGCTAGAAGGAAACTTTTTGCCGGGGGCCCTTTCACCCTAACTATCCACCTAAATAATTTCTTTTTTCTTTTTCTGTCATTTATTATTTATTTATTTATTTATTTATTTATTTATTTATTTATTTTTTGAGATGGAGTTTCACTCCGCCGCCCAGGCTGGAGTGCAATGGTGCGATCTTGGCTCACTGCAAGCTCCACCTCTCTGGTTCAAGCAATTGTCCTGCCTCAGCCTCCCAGGTAGCTGGGATAACAGGTGTGCGCCACCATGCCAGGCTAATTTTTCTACTTTTAGTACAGACGGGGTTTCACCGTGTTAGCAAGAAATTACACAGAGGCCAGTCGTGGTGGCTCACGCTTGTAATCCCAGCACTTTGGGAGGCTCAGGCAGGCGGATCACCTGAGGTCGGGAGTTTGAGACCAGCCTGACCAACATGGTGACTCTTGTACTTGGGCCAAATCAATCCTCTTCTGTCAACTTAAGAAAGAGAGAGGCAGGCGTGGTGGCTCACGCCTGTAATCCCAGCACTTTGAGGAGGCCGAGGCGGGCAGATCACTTGAGGTCAGGAGTTGGAGACCAGCCTGGGCAACATGGTGAAACCCCCATCTCTACTGAAAATACAAAAAAATTAGCTGGGCGTGGTGGCGCGCACCTGTAATCCCAGATCTTTGGGAGGCTGAGGCAGGAGAATCGCTTGAACCTGGGAGGAAGAGGCTGTAGTGAGCCGAGATTGCACCACTGTACTGCCAACATGGTGAAAACCTGTCTCTATTGAAAATGCAAAAAATTAGCTGGGCGTGGTGGCGCGCGCCTGTAATTCCAACTGTTTGGGAGGATGAGGCAGGAGAAGCACTTGAACCTGGGAGGCGGAGGTTGCAGTGAGCCCAGATCATGCCACTGCACTCCAGCCTGGGTGACAGAGCAAGACCCCATCTTGGGAAAAACACACACACACACACACACACACACACACACACACACACACACGAAAGAGAGAAAGATGAAGAGCACATGGTCTCACTGCTATGTGGAATCTAAAAAAGTCAAACTCACAGAAGCAGAGTAGAAGGGTGGGTAGCAGAGACTAGTGGAGGTCACGGGGAGAGATGTTGGTCAGATAATTCAGTTTTGGTTAGACAGGAGGAATAAGGTCTGCACAACTATTGCACAGCACGGTGACATAATTAATAATAAAACACTGCATTTCCAAATTGTTCCGAGTAGGTTTTATTTTTGTTAATTAATAATAAAGCACTGTGCATTTCAAAATTGTTCCGAGTAGGTTTTATTTTTGTTAATTAATAATAAACCACTGTGCGTTTCAGCATTGTTCAGTATAGGTTATTTTTATTTTTGTTAATTTATAATAAAGTACTGTGCATTTCAAAATTGTTCAGAGTAGGTTTTATTTTTATTTTTGTTAATTAATAATAAAACACTGTGCATTTCAAAATTGTTCAGTGTAGGGCCAGACGCGCTGGCTCATGCCTGTAATCCCAGCACTTTGGATTATCTGAGGTCAGGAGTTCAAGACCAGCCTGGCCAACGTGGTGAAACCCTGTCTCTACTAAAAATACAAAAATTAGCTGGGTGTGGTGGTGCTTCACCTGTAATCCCATGTACTAGGGAGGCTGATGCACGAGACTCGCTTGAGCCCGGGAGATGGAGGTTGCAGTGAGCCCAAATCACGCCACTGCACTCCAGCCTGGGTGACAGAGTAAGACTCTGTCTCAAAAAAAAAAAAAATTGTTCACAATACGTTTTATATATATTTTTAATACTAAAGTACTGTGCATTTCAAAATAGCTCAGAGTAGATTTTATTTTTAGTTTTATTTTTGTTAATAATAAAGTACTGTGCGTTTCAAAATTGTTCAATATAGGTTTTAATTTTATTTTTGTTAATAATAAATCACTGTGCATTTCAAAATTGTTCAGAGTAAGGCCAGGCGAGATGGCTCATGCCTGTAATCCCAGAACTTTGGGAGGCCAAGGTGAGTGGATCGCCTGAGGTCAGGAGTTCGAGACCAGCCTGGCCAACACAGTGAAACCCCATATCTACTAAAAATACAAAAATTAGCTGGGTGTGGTGGTGGGTGCCTGTAATCCCACCTACTCGGGAGGTGGAGGCAGGAGAGTCGCTTGAGCTCGGGAGGCGGAGGTTGTACTGAGCCGAGATAGTGCAACTGCACTCCAACCTGGGCCACAGAGTGAGACTCCATCTCAAAAAAAAAAATGTTCACAGTAGGTTTTATATATATATTTTTAATAATAAAGTACTGTGCATTTCAAAATCGTTCAGTATAGGTTTTATTTTTAATTTATTTTTGTTAATAATAAATTATTGTGCATTGCAAAATTGTTCAGGGTCGGTTTCATTATTGTTTTTAATAATAAAGTACGGTGCATTTCAAAATTGTTCAGAGATTTTATTTTTATTTTTGTTTAATAATAAAGTATTGTACCTTTCAAAATTGTTCAGAGTAGATTTTTATTTTTGTTAATTAATAATAAGGTACTGTGCCTTTCAAAATTGTTCAGAGTAGATTTTATTTTTATTTTTGTTAATAATAAAGTACTGTGCATTGCAAAATTGTTGAGAGTAGAGTTTTTTTATTTTGGTATGCTTTTGTGTTTTCTTGTTTTGTACAAATTTAGGGGTTCCATGAGAAATTTTGTTACATGTATAAAACGTGTAGTGATCTAGGTATTCAGGGCATCCATCACCTGAATACAGTATTTTTGTGTTAAGTCTATACACCTTATTCTGCTATGGAACCCCAAATGTATTCCTTGTATCTATTTTTTTTTTTTTTTTAGATGGAGTCTCCCTCCGTCACCCAGGCTAGAGTGCAGTGGCGCGATCTCGGCTCACTGCAACCTCCGCCTCCCGGATTCAAGCGATTCTGCTTCCTCAGCCTCCTGAGTAGCTGGGACTGCAGGCGCCCACCACCACACCCCGCTAATTTTTGTATTTTTAGTAGAGATGGGGTTTCACCATGTTGGCCAGGATGGTCTCAAACTCCTGACCTCAGGTGATCCGCCTGCCTCGGCCTCCCAAAGTGCTGGGATGACAGGCGTGAGCCACCGCACCTGGCCATTCCTCGTATCTTAATGTATGTGTGCAGCCTTTAACCCACCTCTCTGCATCCTCCTCCCTCCGTCTCTCTCACCCTTCTCGGGCTCTGTTATCTATTTTTCCCCCTAAGTGTTTAGCACTTACCTAGGAGTGAGAACGTGCGATATTGGTCTTTCTGTGCCTGGCTTCTTTCTCTTGACATAATGGCCTCTGATTCCATCCATGTTGCAGCAGCCAACAGGATTTCCTTCACTCTTACAGCTCAAGAGTTTTCCCCTTTGTTTATACCCTACGTTTTCCTTCTCCAGTCATCTGTTTTGTTGTTGTTGTTTTGAGAAGGAATCTCCCTCTGTCACCCCAGGCTGGAGTGCAGTGGCATGATCTCGGCTCACTACAGCCTCTGCCTCTCAGGTTCAAGTGATTCTCCTGCCTCAGCCTCCAGAGTACCTGGGATTACAGGCACCTGCCACCACGCCCAGCTAAGTTTTGTATTTTTAGTAGGGACAGGCTTTCACTGTGTTGGCCAGGCTGGTCTCGAACTCCTGACCTCAGGTGATCCACCCACCTCAGCCTCCCAAAGTGCTGGGATTACAGGCGTGAGCCACCGTGCCAGGTCCTTATCCTATAATCTTTCCTTTTTTTTTTTTTTTTTTTTTTTTGAGACAGAGTCTCACTCTGTGACCCAGGCTGGAGTGCAGTGGCGCGATCTCGACTCACTGCAGCCTCCGTCTCCCAGTTTCAAGCGATTCTCCTGCCTCAGCCTGGAGTATCTGGGACTACATGTGCCCACCACCACATCTGGCTAATTTTTGTATTTTTAGTAGGGATGGGGTTTCACCATGTTGGTCAGGCTGGTCTCGAACTCCTGACCTCAAGTCATCCGCCCACTTCGGCCTCCCAAAGTGGTGGGGTGACAGGCGTGAACCACCGCGCCCAGCCCCATTCACGTGTTGATGGACTCTTGGGTTGATTCTATGTATTTGCTATTGTGAACAGTCCTGCAATAAACAGATGATATTTTTTTTCTTTTTTCTTTCTTTCTTTCATTTTTTTTTTTTTGAGAGGGAGTCTCGCTCTGTCGCCCAGGCTGGAGTGCAGTGGTGCGATCTCAGCTCACTGCAAGCTCCGCCTCCCGGGTTCACGCCATTCTCCTGCCTCAGCCTCCCGAGTAGCTGGGACTACAGGCACCCGCCACCACGCCCGGCTAATTTTTTTATTTAGTAGAGATGGGGTTTCACCGTGTTAGCCAGGATGGTCTCGATCTCCTGACCTCGTGATCTGCCTGCCTCGGCCTCCCAAAGTGCTGGGATTACAGGCGTGAGCCACCGCGCCAGCCTAAACGTAGGATTTTAAATGCGTGCACCACCCACACACACACACACAAAAGAAAAGTAGGTGAGGTGAGGGATATGTTAATTGGCTTCATGCAATTATCCCATGATGTGTACATATATCAAAATTTCACACTGTACCCTACAAATACATGCAATCATTGTTTGTCCCTTAAAAATTAAATTTTCCAAAGGAAGGAGACCAACAGTGGCTTCTGAAGTCGAGGACAGAGCGAGGCTTTGCCCCCTCGGTAAAACATGAATAACGGGAAATGGAATTTTAAATGTCACCGCAGGAGGAATTTACTCATTCAGGGCCGGGGGCTTCCTCGGACGTCATAAAATCATCTTCAGCTGATGGGAATATAATGACAGCCAGCATTATCAGCAGAGAACGGCAGCTTTGAGTGTCTTTATATATTCATTGTTGTCAGTATCAGGGTTCAGAACCCGGCAGGTGGAGGTTGTGGTGAGCCGAGATCACGCCACTGCACTCCAGCCTGGGCAACAAGAGCAAAACTCCATCTCAAACAAACAAACAAACAAAAAATACAAACAGCCCAGCTAAGGTGACCTATGAAATGCAGACATTGATAATCAAGACATATGCATTTTTATTTTTTTTTAAATTTGTATTGTATTTATTTCTTCTTTTTTGAGATGGAGTCTCTCTCATTCTGTTGCCCAGGCTGGAGTGCAGTGGCGTGATCTTGGCTCACTGCAACCTCCGCCTCTTGGGTTCAAGTGATTCTCCTGCCTCAGCCTTCTGAGTAGTTGGGGTTACAGGCACCCGCCACCGCATCCGGCTAATTTTTGTATTTTTACTAGAGACAGGGTTTTGCCATGTTGACCAGGCTGGTCTCGAACTCCTGACCTCATGATCCACCCACCTCGACCTCCCGAAGTGCTGGGATTACAGGCGTGAGCCACTGCGCCCGGCCTATTTCTTGTATTTTGAGACGGAGTCTTGCTGTGTCGTCCAGGCTGGAGTGCAGTGGCATGATCTTGGCCCACTGCAACCTCTGCCTCCTGGGTTCAAGCGATTCTCCTGCCTCAGCCTCCCGAGTAGCTGGGGTTACAGGCGCCCGCCACCACATCTGGCTAATTTTTGTATTTTTACTAGGAACAGAGTTTTGCTGTGTTGGCCAGGCTGGTCTTGAACTCCTGACCTCGTAATCCACCCACCTTGACCTTCCAAAGTGCTGGGATTACAGGTGTGAGCCACCATGCCCAGCTTATTTCTTCTTTTTTGAGACAGAGTCTCACTCTGTTGCCCAGGCTGGAGTACAGTGGTGTGATCTTGGCTCAGTGCAACCTCTGCCTCCTGGGTTCAAGCCGTTCTCCTGCCTCATCCTCCCAAGTACCTGGGGTTACAGGCACCCACCACCACACCACCTAATTTTTGTATTTTTACTACGGACAGGGTTTTGCCATGTTGGCCAGGCTGGTCTTGAACTCCTGACATCCGGTGATCTGTCCGCCTTGCCCTCCTAAAGTGCTGAGATTACAGGCATGTGCTACCATAACTGATTAATTTTTGTATTTTTAGTAGAAATAGGGTTTCCCCATGTTGGCCAGGCTGGTCTCGAACTCCTGACCTCAAGGGATCCACCCACCTCAGCCTCCCAAAGTGCTGGCATTACAGGCGTGAGCTACCGCACCCGGCCGATATATGCATTTTTACTAAAAAAAAAAAAAAAAAAAAGGTTGAAATGTTGAAATATGCATCCATTCCCTTGGCCTCCTGGATGAGAAGTCACAGGTAGAAAAAGGATGGGAGATGCAAATCACGCACAAAACTGTCAGCAACAACAACAACAAAAATGTGCTGTCACGTCCCCAGAGCGGCCTCAACACAAATCCGAGCATCTGGGGTTTCTGGAATCTGGACTCTGATACATTGTTGCGTTTCCCCTGCTAGCAAATGACAATGGTATCCTGCAGGGTGGAAAGAGTGAGAGAGGCGGGCAGTCCCCGGCTGTTTAAAATAAGAATGTCGGTGCGCCAGGAGGACGGGATACATTCTTTTCCTGAGAGCAGTAAGGGTTCAAGTGTAAGAAGCCAGTAATTATCCTGGGGGAAGCGAGAATCGTCAGGGGAGTAGGGGCAAAGAGCCGAGATGGTATCGATGGTGATGAAAACGCCGGCGTATTCGTGAACACCCTGCCTTACCCACGGGGCCCTCTTGCATTCGGCTGAGGGGATAATTACAAATAATGAGAAGCCTCTGATCTCAATGCATTTACGGCTTTGGCGTTTGCGAAAGGAAGAGAGGAGTGTGAAAAATAACCTATTTTACTATGAATGAGACAAAGTAAGATTTCAGGACAAAAGACACCAGCCAAGAAAGGGGGAATGTTAATCCTTGTCCCAGACCCTTTTATAAAAGTTATCCTTGATCCAATAATTAATGTATTTGATTTGGCTCAAAGAGACAAGGGTTAAAATTAGAAAAAAAAAAAAAAAAAAAAAAAAAGAAAGGCTTGCTAAGATGTGAGAAGAAAATGAGAGAAGGAATTTATAGTCATCAAAGTGGGATACATTTGTCCATGGCGTATATGAAGTCAAAATGGAAATTCAGATCAGAAACCCACATCTTCTGGCCAGGCATGGTGGCTCATGCCTGTCATCCCAGCACTTTGGGAGGCTGAGGCAGGGAGATCACTTGAGATCAGGAGTTCAAGACCAGCCTGGCCAACATGGTGAAACCCCATCTCTACTAAAAATACAATAATTAGCCCGGGCGTGGTGGCTCACGCCTATAATCCCAGCACTTTGGGAGGCCAAGGCAGGTGGATCACCTGAGGTCGGGAGTTCGAGACCAGCCTGGCCAACATGGTGAAACCCCATCTCTACTAAAAATACAAAAATTAGTCCGGGCATGGTGGCTCATGCCTATAATCCCAGCACATCGGGAGGCCAAGCAGATGGATCACCTGAGGTTGGGAGTTCGAGACCAGCCTGGCCAACATGGTGGCCCTTCTTTACTAAAAATACAAAAATTAGCCGGGTGTGGTAGCACGTGCCTGTAATCCCAGCTACTCGGGAGGCTGAGGCCAGAGAATCGCTTGAACCTGGGAGGCAGAGGTTGCAGTGAGCTGAGATCATGCCACTGCACTCCAGCCTGGGAGACAGAGCAAGACTCTGTCTCAAAAAAAAAAAAATTCATCTCATGGACTAAACAACTTCTCTGAATCCAGGTACATTTAGGTTTTTCTTGGAACGAAGCAAGTTAACCTTTTCAGACTATTTCTAAACTTGGGCGTGTCTGCTTGATGTGTGTTTCTGGGATCCTTGCTTCCTCTCCCTTTTCTCCACCTCTTCCCTGCATTTAAATAGTGGGATAGCCTCCATAGCCTTCACAGTGTCACTCCTTGTTAGGAAAGCTTTAGTTGTCATCTTAAATTTCTTTTTTTTTTTTTTGAGATGGAGTCTCACTCTGTCGCCCAAGCTGGAATGCAATGGTGTGATCTCGGCTCACTGCAACCTCTGCCTCCCAGGTTCCAGTGATTCTCCTGCCTCAGACTTCCAAGTAGTTGGGATTACAGGAGTGCGCCCCCATCTTCCCTTGTGCTTTTTTTTTTTTTTTTTTTTTTTGAGATGGAGTCTCACTCTGTCACTCAGGCTGGAATGCAATGGTGCGATCTCGGCTCACTGCAACCTTTGCCTCCCGGGTTCAAGCGATTCTCCTGCCTCAGCCTTCCGAGTAGCCAGGATTACAGGAGTGCGTCACCACACCTGGGTAATTTTTTATATTTTTGATAGAGATGGGGTTTCACCATGTTGGCCAGGCTGGTCTTGAACTCCCAACCTCAATGGATCCGCCCGCCTCAGCCTCCCAAAGTGCTGGGATTACAGGCATGATCCACCACGCCCGGCTGTCATCTTAAATTTCTTACGGAAAAAAAAAAAATCACAATGTATTCTCACAGGAGAACTACCTTTCACCTTTGCCAACTTCCAATTTCGCAGTGCAATAAACAAAGGCAACTTTCTGGGGAGAAAGTGACAAAGCATTAATTATATCTTGCAGAAATCCACGGCACTTGTACAGGAAAACTGCCTTGTCTATCATTGGAGGGCAGAACCGTGATGGAAAGAATTGATTTCCGTGGCTGAGCTTCTAGTCAATGCTGGGCGTTTAAAACACGGTGTGGAGTGAGCAGTTATGAACAGGCCTGATAAATCGTGTTAGAAGGGTAGGTTTCCAGGTTCACGGTGAAAAGCAGGCTGCACGGCACTTGTCACAAAATGCAAAACTGTAATATAAACATCTCCAAGACATTTAGAAACAGCAATTGACATACTCGCTGACGAGGAGGGAGAACAGGCATAAAGGTATTCTCAGCCTTCTGGGTGTATGAGAAGTTCTGACCTCTCTCTGATGGCTAAATTTTCATTACTGGGTAAGAGAAGAGCGGTCACTGGAGATTCAGTCCTGCCACCGACTAACTGAGGACCATGTTGTTTTCTTTTTTCTCCTTTTTTTTTTTTTTAGGATAGAGTCTCACTCTGTCTCCCAGACTGGAGTGCGGTGGCACGATCTCGGCTCACTGTAACCTCCACCTCCCGGGTTCAGGCGATTCTCCTGCCTCAGCCTCCCGAGTAGCTTGGATTACAGGCACACACCACCACCCCCAGCTAATTTTTGTATTTTTAGTAGAGACTGGGTTTCACCGTGTTGGTCAGGCTGGTCTCCAACTCCTCACCTTGTGATCTGCCCGCCTCGGCCTCCCAAAGTGCTAGGATGACGGGCGTGAGCCACCTCGCCCAGCTTTCTTAATGAGCCGTGAAAAATCAATGGTTCTAAGAATAAGACCAGGATATATTATTTATGTAAATAGGGATTTATGATTTTCCTGTTTATTAAAACTTTTTTTCAAAGGCATGTTTCTACTTAAAAGAAGGCCTGAGAAAGACTTACACAGGTCAAGGGTCTATGCTGGCTCCTGTTGTCTGTATTTTTGTATCTGCTGGGACAGGTCTTCTGCCAGGCGGTCTTCTGCCTTTTCTGTCTTTATTATTTTCTCCATCACAATTGACCTGTTCTCACTCTTTCCACCTGCTCACCTACCCTTGTCCTCATTGTCTCATGCTAGAACCCTGCTGAACTGTGAGATTCTTTTTTTTTTTTTTTTTTTCTAAGACGGAGTCTCGCTCTGTCACCCAGGCTGGAGTGCAGTGGCATGATCTCGACTCACTGCAACCTCCACCTCCTGGGTTCAAGAGATTCTCCTGCCTCAGCCTCTGGAGTAGCTGGGATTACAGGCGCACACCACCATGCCTGGCTAATTTTTGTATTTTTAGTAGAGACGGGGTTTCAGCACCTTGGTCAGGCTGGTCTTGAACTCTTGACCTCAAGTGATCCGCCCGCCTCGGCCTCCCAAAGTGCTGGTTTTACAGGCGTGAGTCACCACGCCTGGTCCAACAGTGAGTCTCTTAAGACCCAAGGGAACTGTGAGACTCTTGAGACCCCCCCTGTAAGGTGAGTATCCTACTGGACCAGTTGGGTTTGGAGCTACCCTCTAAAATTTCTACTTCTGTAAATGAAGTAGTTTTGACACTCACCCCTTGACAAATTGTCAAATGCCACCAGCATCCCCTCCTTTTTTTTTTTTTAGTCGAATTCCAATGTCAAAGACATTACTAGGAACAATAGCATCGGGGAAAGGATAAATTCTTCCGTGCTTCGTGTCTGGTCTCAAAAGCCCGCAGGGCCATTGTGTTTAACCGTGGGGATTCTGAAGATCGCGCCGGCATACCTGTGTGAACTTTTTCTCTTTGTGTGAGCTGGTATAGACTGAAGCATTGTCTGGGTAGAGAAAGGTCATTAATTGTATCAGAGAGCATTGAAAACAAACAAACAAAATAAATAAAGAACAGAAAAGCCCGCTGCTAGTCTATGTATTTATGTGCTCCAGCTCCTATCAGGTCCGGTTTTAATTTTTTAATATAGACCACCAATTTCTTTAAAAGCTGTATGGAAAACTAGTATTTTTTCATAAAGTTTTTTATTTAAAAAACTGGATGAAAGACTACTTTTTTTTTTTTTTTTTTTGAGACGAAGTTTCACTCTTGTTGCCCAGGCTAGAGTGTAATGGCACAATCTCGGCTCACCGCAACCTCTGCCTCCCAGGTTCAAGTGATTCTCCTGCCTCAGCCTCCCAAGTAGGTGGGATGACAGGTGAGCACCACCACGCCTGACTAATTTTGTATTTTTAGTAGAGACGGGATTTCTCCATGTTGGTCAGGCTGGTCTCGAACTCCTGACCTCAGGTGATCCACCCGCCTTGGCCTCTCAAAGTGCTGAGATTACAGGCGTGAGCCACCGCGCCCGGCCGAAAAACTAATATTTTTAAAGATCCTTAATTAAGCCACAGAATTGCAAGAAAGCACCAAGGAATATTCATTAATTTGGTCAGTAGGCTATTCAACAATTGCAGATTTATTTCCCGCTCATTGACTGATAATACAATAGGTAAAGGGGATAAAGAATCAATAACCTCTGGGCTGAAGAAGGTCACAGTTCTAAAGAGATTCTGTACTTCATTCTCTAATTTCAAATAAATGTGGTTTAAATAACCACAGATGGTTGGTTCATACAGGTGTTCAAATTTCAAGGGTTTTTTGTAAACTGCTGAAATTATTATGGTTTTATGTCCTAGTGTTGGCAGTGACTAAAAATAAGAACTAAATATGTTTAAGAGATGTGAGTTTAAAAATAGAATGCTGTAATAATTTAAAATGGGCTGGGCACGGTGGCTCACTCCTGTAATACCAGCACTTTGGGGGAGGCTGAGGCGGGAGGATGACCTGAGGTCAGGAGTTTGAGACCAGCCTGGCCAACATGGTGAAACCCTGTCTCTACTAAAAATACAAAAATGAGCTGGGCGTGGTGGCGTGCACCTGTAGTCCCAGCCACTTCGGAGGCTCAGGCAGGAGAATCGCTTGAATCCAGGAGATGGAGGTTATAGCAAGCAGAGATTGCAGCACTGCACTCCAGCCTGGGTGACACAGTGAGACTCCATCTCAAAAGAGAAAACAAAAAACTTAAAAATGGCTAGTGACATTCATGGCTTCTTTTCCGGTAATTACTTATTTAGCGATTTGTGACATAGGGATAAAGCAACATCCTGAGAATCACTCTTATCTGGCTTTCTGTTACTTACAGGGTTCAAATGGCTGATGATATCTTTATATTTGAAGAAATCACAGAACAAGCTCAGAATTAGGATTCTATTTCTGCTTCTACTGAAAAATATATTTATTTATGAGATCAGCTGTGCTGTGGGATCTTTTTTATTGGTACGTGATAGTTTATAGATGTCTGCCTTCCATGTGATTTATTGCTGCCTGCCTAGAAAGTGTAATGATTAAGCTGGGGTATTTGGCGCGTCCAGCACCTGGAGTCATTTCTGTGTGTTAGCAAAATTTCCAGTTTTCTCTTCTAGCTGCTTTCAAATATATAATACATTCTGGCTAACTATAGTGACCCTGCTCTACCATAGAACATTATAACTTACATCTTCTGGCCAGGCGTGATGGCTCACGGGCCAGGCACGGTGGCTCACACCCGTAATCCCAGCACTTTGGGAGGCCGAGGAGGGCGGATCACGAGGTCAGGAGTTCGAGACCAGCCTGGCCAATATGGTGAAACCCTGTCTGTACTAAAAATACAAAAATTAGCCAGGCGTGGTGGCGGGCGCCTGTAGTCTCAGCTACTCAGGAGGCTGAGGCAGGAGAATCGCTTGAACCCGGGAGGCGGAGGTTGCAGTGAGCCGAGATCGCACCACTGCACTCCAGCCTGGGCGACAGAGTGAGACTCTGCCTCAAAAAAAAAAAAAAAAACCAGAACTTATATGTTCTATGTAATTGGATCTTTGTGCCCATTAACCAAACTCTTCATCTAAACACTGTCTCCACAAACCATTTCCAGGATCTCTTATCCATCATTCTCCTCTATGTCCATGAGATAACCTTTTTAGTGCCCAAGTATGAGTGAACACACAGAAAACGTGTCTGTCTGTGTCTGGCTTATTTCATGTAACATAATGACCTCCAGGGTCATCCATGTTGCTGCAAATGACAGGACTTCCTTCCTTTTGATGGCTGCACCATTGTATATATATAAAACATTCTCTTTTTCAGACAAAATAGACTTTAATTCAAATGCTGTCACAAGAGACAAAGAAGGTCTTCATGTAACTCAAAATGGTTGATTCCACAGGAATACATAACAATTGTAAATATACATGCTGAAAACATCAGAGTTCCCAAATACACAAAGCAAACTTTTTTTTTTTTTTGAGATGGAGTCTCACTCTACCACCCAGGCTGGAGTGCAATGGCATGATCTCGGCTCACTGCAACATCTGCCTCCCAGGTTCAAGTGATTCTCCTGCCTCAGCCTCCCAAGTAGCTTGGATTGCAGGTGCCTGCCACCCCACTCGGCTAATTTTTGTATTTTTAGTAGAGATGGGGTTTCACCATGTTCCCCAGGATTGTCTCGATATCCTGACCTCATGATCTGCCCGCCTCGGCCTCCCAAAGTGCTGGGATTACAGGTGTGAGCCACGATAGATTGTAAGGGAAACATAAGACTGGTACAATAATAGTAGGTGTCAAAGTCTCCTAACACATTTTATTATTATTATTATTATTATTTTTTAGATAGGGCTTTGCTCCTGTTGCCCAGGCTGGAGTGCAGTGGTGCGATCTCGGCTCACTGCAACCTCCACCTCCCAGGTTCAAGCAATTCTCCTGCCTCAGCCTCCCGAGTAGCTGGGATTACAGGCACCCACCACCATGCCTGGCTAATTTTTGTATTTTTAGTAGAGACGGGGTTTCACCATGTTGGCCAGGCTGGTCTCGAACTCCTGACCTCAGGTGATCGTCTCTCCTCAGCCTCCCAACGTGCTGAGATGACAGGCGTGAGCCGCCGCACCCGGCCACATCTTCTTTCTTTCTTTATTCATTGATGGACAATGAGGCGGATTCCATGTCTCGGCTACTGTGCACCGTACTGCAGTAAATACGGGGTTGCAGAAATCCCTTCGATATACTCATTTCCTTTCCTTTGGATAAATTCCCAGCAGGGGAATGGCTGGATCAGATGGTAGTTCTATTTTTAGCTTTGTGAGGAATCTCTTTACTATTTTCACACAGTGCCTCTACTAACTTACATTCCTACATATGCTCTCAAGTCTTAATTTTAGATGTTGGCCTCTTCAGCACTCCCAGCTATAGAGCATACAATGGGCAGAAGCCCGTCTAGCTTAGTAAAGATGCTCATTTTCTGGAAGGATGTTTATGTGGGGAGATGAGGCAAGCCCTGCCATATTTGGGGTTTCTCCTTATTATTTAGCTGTTGATTGTGACATGCCCCATCTGACAATGTACTGAAAGAAGCTTCACCATTACTGGTTACAATCCCTACTGTAACAAAACCTGAACAAAATATTTGAAACACTTCTGGTGCCAGGCCTTTCTGATAAGGGGTACTCAACCTGTATTAACTCTCTGGTTTGCTGGGAAAACAAAATGAATAATTATGAATCAAGAATTGAACACGGCCCCCATCTCTACTAAAAGAAATACAAAAAATTAGCCGGGTGTGGTGGCGGCTGCCTGTAGTCCCAGCTACTCGGGAGGCTGAGGCAGGAGAATGGCGTGAACCCGGAAGGTGGAGTTTGCAGTGAGCCGAGATCGCGCCACTGCACTCCAGCCTGGGCGACAGAGCGAGACTCCATCTCAAAAAAAAAAAAAAAAAAAAAAAAATTGAACACAGCACTTGGTTGTCAGTATGTTCTTTTAAGTTCTTTTTGTCTTGTTGTGACAGTCCTCAACAATCCTAAAGATTGGTATTCCTTATTTCTACCTACTTGTCAAGAGCAGGAACAAACCACAAGGATACGAAGGGTGGTGTGTGTTGGAGGTGTGCAGGCAACTGGACAACCATGTAAACATGTCTACTGAGGCCAAGCACAGTGGCTCACCCCTGTAATCCCAGCTCTTTGGAAGGCAGAGGTGGGTGGATCACCGGAGGTCAGGAGTCTGAGACCAGCCTGGCCAACATGGTGAAACCCCGTCTCTACTAAAAAAACAAAAAATGCAAAAAAGTAGCTGGGCATGGTGGCCCATGCCTGTAGTCCCAGTTACTCGGGAGGCTGAGGCAGGAGGATTGCTTGAACCCAGGAGGCAAAGGTTGTAGTGAGCCGAGATTGTGCCACTACACTCCAGCCTGGTGACAGAGCAAGACTTGGTCAAAAAAAAAAAAAATTAGCTGGATGTGGTGGCTCACGCACCTGTAATCCCAGCACTTTGGGAGGCTGAGGTGGGCGGATCACAAGGTCAGGAGTTCAAGAGTAACCTGGCCAATATGGTGAAACCCCGTGTCTATTAAAAATACAAAAAAAAAAAAAAAAAAAGCCAGGAGTGGTGGTGGGCGCCTGTAGTCCCAGCTACTCGGGAGGCTGAGGCATGAGAATTGCTTGAACCCAGGAGGCAGAGGTTGCAGTGAGCCAAGATTGGGCCACTACACTCCAGCCTGGTGACAGAGCAAGACTTTGTCTCAAAAAAAAAAAAAAAAAAAAAAAAGAATTAGCCAGGCGTGGTGGTGGGCACCTGTAATCCCAGGTACTCAGGAGGCTGAGGGAGGAGAATCACTTGAACCCAGGAGGTAGAGGTTGCAGTGAGCCGAGATTGTGCCATTGCACTCCAGCCTGGGCGACAGAGCAAGACTCATCTCAAAACAACAGTAACAAGAAATTATGTCTACTGCTTTGTATCTCAACCCATAGAAACTTCATGTTCCCTGACTCAGGGCTCGGAGAATTATCTTGAGCGGTGTGTGTGTCTGCCCATGAGCACAGTTGAGGTTGGGGGGGGTCCCATCGTGCCTGTGTATCCTCAGAAATTTTCCTGAAAGTGTTTGTGACAGGTGAATCACAGCCACTCTCAACAAGGGAAAGATGTGAGATTCCCTTGATTTTTCAAACCAACATAAACTAGTGTCCAGCCAACATCGGTGATCTCTGCGTATTCACGCCAGACCATCATCCATCGGAACACAGACAGCAAGTGCTCCGGGCGTGGAGTGTTGAGTGATGATTTTCTTTTTCCCACCACTCTGTGACTTTCACATCGTATAATTGGAATCTTCGGGTTGTTTTACAACAAGGATTTAGAGAAAAGAAAATCCAGACGCCTGTCTTAATGACTTTCACAAAGCTGGAGATTGCTTTTAACAACAAAAACCGGCCGGTTGTGGTGGTTCACGCCTGTAATCCCAGCACTTTGGGAGGCCGAGGTGGACAGATCACGAGGTTAGGAGTTCGAGACCAGCTGGGTGAACATGGTGAAACCCCATCTCTACTAAAAATACAAATAGTAGCTGGGCATGCTGGCATGTGCCTGTAGTCCCAGCTACTTAGGAGGCTGAGGCAGGAGAATCGCTTGAACCTGGGAGGCAGAGGTTGCAGTGAGCCGAGATCGCACCACTGCACTCCAGCCTGGGTGACAGAGCAATACTCTGATGAAAGAAAGAAAGAGAAAGAGAAAGAAAAGAAAGAGAGAGAAAGGAAAAGAAAGGAAAGGAAAGGAAAAGAAAAGAAAAGGAGGAGGGAGGGAGGGAGGGAAGGAAGGGAGAGAGAGAGAGAAGGAAGGAAGGATGGGAAACTGTCTCAAAAAGAGAGAAGAAACTCTGTCTAAAAAAGAAGAAGAAACTGTCTGAAACAGAAAGAAGAAAGGAAAGAAAGAAGAGGAAGAAGAAGGAAGAAAGGAAGGAAGAAAGAAGGGAGGAGGGAGGAAGGAAAGGAAGGAAGAGAGGGAAGGAAGGGAGGGAGGGAGGGAAACTGTCAGAAAGAAAGAGGAAGAAGAAGGAAGAAAGGAAAGAAAGTGTCTCAAAAAAAAAGACGAAAGCAGGAAACTCTGTCTCAAAAAGAAAGAAGAAAGTGAAAGAAAGAACAAGACAAGATAGAACGAACATAAGCCATTGTGACCGCAGAACCTCATTCACCTTTCATGAGGTGAAGGCAAACACCCATTCCCTTTGTCTCCAGATTTCAGTCCCCAAGGTCATAGCTTGAAGTCCCTGGAAGGAATTATTTCTCTGTGGAGCCCTTTCCTGAGAAACTTGAGTAAAGCCAGGAATGTCCGTTGCAGCTTTTCACATGTCTGCAGTGAACTGTGTGGAAGGGAAGACATTTTCCACATCGATTCTTTTTGGTGAAAATAAAGTTGCTGTCGAAGACGGGTGGAAAATAAGAATATCTTTTAAAGAGAGAAAAGACTTTTGGTGATGCCAGCCTAAACCTATTTCTTCTAATTCCCTTCTGCAAAAAAAAGAGCAGATGGGCCGAAAAACCTAGTGGGGGAACAAAAGTGCACGGGTATTTTATAGATAAATCAGCAAACCAACAGGAATGCATATACGGAAAAGATGTAATTTGTTCCTGCTCTTGACAAGTACGTAGAAATATGGAATAATCTTTACGATTGTTGACGAGTATGATAACAATGACAAGAACATTCTGAGGACTTACTAAGAACGAAGCACTGTGTCCAATTCTTGATTTAAAATCATTCATTTTATTTTCCCAGCAAACCAGAAAGTTAATACGGGTTGAGTATCTCTTATCTGAAATGCCTGGGGCTGGAAGTGTTTTCAAACATTTTATTTTTTCAGATTTTTTTATATTTGGATATATAATGAGGTATCTCTAGAGGGGGCTCTTGTCTAAACACAAAATCCATTTATGTTTCATATGCATGTTATACACATGATCTGAAGGTAATTTTATATATTTTAACGATTTTGTGCATAAAACAAAGTTTTGACTGCATTTTGACTGTGACCTTTCGCATGAGGTCAAGACAAGAGTTCCTTGTTCTTCCTCAACAAACAGAGTCCTCCAACACACACCACCCTTCGTATCATTATAGTTTGTTCCTGCTCTTGACAAGTCGGTAGAAATATGGAATATCAATCTTTAGGATTGTTGAGGACTATCATAACAATGACAAGAACATTCTGAGGACTTACTAAGAACCAAGCCCTATGCCCAATTCTTGATTTAAAATCATTCATTTTATTTTCCCAGAAAACCAGAAAGTTAATACAGGTTGAGTATCTTATATCTGAAATGCCTGGGACTGGACGTATTTCAAACATTTTATTTTTTCAGATTTTGTTATATTCGTATATTTAATGAGCTATCTTGGGATTGAGCTCTTGTCTAAATGCAAAATTCGTTTATGCTTCATAGGCATCTTTTTTTTTTTTTTTTTGAGATGGAGTCTCCCTTTGTCGCCCAGGCTGGAGTGCAGTGGTGTGATCTCAGCTCACTGCAAGCTCCACCTTCTAGGTTCAAGCTATTCTCCTGCCTCAGCCTCCCAGTAGCTGGAATTACAGGCACGTGCCACCACACCCGGCTAATTTTTTGAATTTTTAGTAGAGACGGGGTTTCACCATGTTGGTCAGGCTGGTCTCGAATCCCTGACCTCAAATGATTTCACCCGCCTCGGCATCCCAAAATCCTGGGATTACAAGTGTAAGCCACCACGCGCAGCCTCATATGCATCTTACACAGATGACCTGAAGGTAATTTTAAACATTTTAACAATTTTGTGCATAAAACAAGGTTTTGACTGCATTTTGACTGTGACCTTTCACATAAGGTCAAGAGTTCGTTGTCCTTCATCAACGAACAAAGAGTCCTCCCAACACACACCACCTTAGTATCACTGTAATTTTCCACTTATGGTACCATGCTGCTGCTCACATAGTTTCAGATTTTGGAGCATTTCAGGTTTTGGACTTCCAGATGAGGAATGGCCAACCTGTATTATCATTCCTGCATTTTATAGAAGAGGGAACTAGGGGCCGGGTGCGGTGGCTCATGCCTGTCATCCCAGCACTTTGGGAGTCCAAGGCGGGTGGATCAGAAGGTCAAGAGATCAAGACCATCCTGGCTAACATGGTGAAACCCCATCTCTAATGAAAATACAAAAATTAGCCGGGCATGGTGGTGCGCGCCTGTAGTCCCAGCTACTTGGGAAGCTGAGGCAGGAGAATCACTTGAACCTGGGAGGCGGAGGTTGCAGTGAGCCAAGATCACGCCACTGCAGTCCAGCCTGGTGACAGAGCAAGACTCTGTCAAAAAAAAAAAGGAGGAGGAGGAGGAGGAGGAGAGGAAGGAGAGGAAGGAGGAGAGGAAGAGGAAGAAGAAGAAAAGGGAACTAGAAAGAGAGCGTGAACGGAGACTCGTTCCTTTCATGGCTTTTTGAGATACATGGAAGATTCAAACACAAAGAGTCTCACCTTAGACCCGGGTGCCTCCTACCATCCATAAGCTCAAACAATAGACAAAGACCCTTCTCCCAATTCTCAGCCTACATCTGCTGAGGGCCACGTAGTGTCTGCTAAGGGCTTGCTCTCTCTCTGCTTCAAAGATGGTGCCTTCTTTGTGTTCTCCCATGGCAGAGGGGCAGAAGGAGCAAGCAGAATTTCTCAAGCTCATGTATGAGGGCAGTCATCCTACCTCCTGATGACCCACACCTCCTAACACCATTATCTTGGGGGTTAAGTTCCAACACGTGAATTTGGCAGACGCACCATCATTGAGATTATAGCCACGTCCTTGTATCTGATTCAAAGTCTGGAGTACATGCATTTGAGTAATGTGAGCTACGTCATAGGTCAGTACCTTAGAAGACTGAAGACTGCCATTTTTCTTTCTTGGGAGGAGCCAGGAGGTTCTTCCCCATGCAGGACTCTTCCAGTGGGATTTCTCCAAACTCAGGCCTGCTGTCTAATGCTAGACCACTAGGACCAGAAAAAAGGAGGATTGCTCACACCATCACTAACTGGACAGAGGGGAGGGAGCAACCAGGGATGCCTGTTGGGTTTGAAATTTTTTACGTCTCTACTGCAAAGCAGGGAAAGATGAATTGCACCAGCACCAACAATGAAAGGAGATTCTGGAGGAGAGGATCTCATTTTGTGAGGTGCTCCTGCTGCATCCCGATATTTCCACTACTCTGTGTTTACCTCACTTCTCAAGGCATTCACAAGGCAGAAGCCACTTGTTGTTGCTATGGATACATTGATCAAAAAGACAGAGCAAACCCACAACAGGCAAAGTAAAATTTCCATGGTCTGAAACTCATGATGCTGGCGAGAGGCAGAGAATGCATCGTTTCCACTTCAGATCTGCTTTTCTGATAGTTTCTATGAAAATGATGGTTTTGGTTGCATGGTTTCAGGAATGCTATGGTTTGGATGTTTGTACCCCTCCAAACGTCGTGCTGAAATTTCATCCCCAGTGCTGAAGGTGGGGACTAATGGGAGGTGTTTGGGTCATGGGAGTGGATTCCTCACGCACAGATTAGTGCCCATCCTTGAGAGTAAGTGAGTTATCTCTCTTATGAGTTATTATGAAAGCTGGCTGTTAAAAAGAGCCTGGCACCTCCCCACACACACTCTCTCTCTCTTGCTTCCTGTCTCTACATGTGGTCTCTGCACATGCAGCTCCCCTTCCTCTCTGTGTCCCCACCCAAATCTATGGTTTGGCTCTATGTCCCCACCCAAATCTCATCTTCTAGCTCCCATAATTCCCATGTGTTGTGGGAGGGACCCAGTGGGAGATGATTGAATTATGGGGGCAGGTCTTTCTCATGTGGTTCTCATGATAATGGATGGGTCTCATGAGATCTGCTGCCATCCACGTAAAATGTGATTTGCTCCTCCTTGCCTTCCACCATGATAGTGAGACTTCCCCAGACATGTGGACCTGTACATCCAAAAAACCTCAGTCTCAGGTATGTCTTTATCAGCAGTGTGAAAACAGATTAATACACTCTCTCACTCTGAGTGGAAGCAGCCCGAGGCCCTTACCAGATGCAAATGTCCAATCCTGAACTTTCCAGCCACCAGAATCATGAGCCAAATAAACCTCTTTTCTTTACAAATTATCCAGCCTCAGAGATTCCTTCATAGAAACACAAAACAGACTCAGACAGAGAGTTTGTTTGGAGCAAGTGAATTAGGTCAGAGTGACATGGGGCTCCTAGGAGTTGGGGATTTACCACACACACCTGAGTGGAGGTAATGGTTGGAGATTAGCCTGAAAACCCAGAAGGTCTGTCCTGTTGGGATAAAACCTCCCCTCCTGGAGCTCAGTCTTGATGTAAATGACACATGATGTGTCCCAGACACAAGATGCAAATAAAAATGGCCTGGGGGTTAAAATTAGTCTGTGCTTTGGGGTGAGATCCATGCAGGTTGGAGTCAGTGCTTAGCTGGTATATGACTCCTGCCTGACTTTGCAGATGAGGCTGATCTCCAATCTCTGACTTTCCCTCTGTGAGGATTAAATCCGATACGCATAGTTCAGGAAGCATTAGCTGTTCTAGTGATAAAAGGGAATGAAAATATGAAAATTGCTATCATTTCTATTGCAGCTCAGGTTTCTTCTGCAAAGCCAGAGGTGATATGTCTACATTGGAGGACAGGGGAGCCAGGAATGGTGGGATTCTAACACTAACACAATTGAACACTCTCAGGCAAGCGCATCAAACATGTTTATTGCTGCCTCTGCAGGTAGTTAGTTCTCAAAAAACATGACCTGATGCTCTTCCTTGAACACACTCTTTCTTAGAAACTCCTTGCATATAAGCCGGGCGCGGTGGCTCATGCCTGTAATCCCAGCACTTTGGGAGGCCAAGGTGGGTGGATCACCTGAGGTTAGGAGTTCGAGACCGGCCTGACCAATATGGTAAAACCCCATCTCTACTAAAAATGCAAAAATTGACCAGGCGTGGTGGCAGGTGCCTGCAGTCCCAGCTACTTGGGAGGCTGGGGCAGGAGAATTGCTTGAACCCGGGAGGCGGAGGTTGCAGTGAGCCAAGATGGCACCACTGGACTCCAGCCTGGGTGACAGAGCAAGATTCCATCTAAAACAATAAACAAACAAACAAAATTCTTTGCATATGAGCCTGTAATGGAAGACAAACTCCATGGGCAACCTTCATATCTTCCCCAACAGCAGGCTGAAAGCTGTCACTTTGATGTCAAGGGGATAACTCCTATTATCACATTGTCCAAAAAGGCTCAAACTCAAGTCTCAGTAAGGTTGGCTCTAGGGGAGAAGCTATTCTTTTGCCTTTTGCAGCTTTTAGAGCTGTATTCCTTTCATTTCTTGGCCTGTCGCCCGTTCCTCCACCTTCAAAGCCAGCAACATCGTACCTCGTTTTAGTTCTGACATCGCGTACTCTCTTGCTAGTCCAGTCTCCCTCTGCCTCCTTCTTAGAAAGATGCTTCTGATGACATTGAGGATCCACCTCAATAATCCGATATCATCCTCCCATCTCAAGATCATTAACTGAAATGCATCTTTAAAGTCTGTTACCATATAATGTAACCTATTCGTGTTTTTATTGTTGTTGTTTGTTTGTTTATTTTTGTTTTTGAGATGAAGTCTTGCTCTGTTGCCCAGGCTGGAGTGCAGTGGCGTGATCTCAGCTCACTGCAACCTCCACTTCCCAGGTTCAAGTGAGTCTCCTGCCTCGGCGTCCTGAGTAGTCAGGATTACAGGCCCGTGCCACCACATCCAGCTAATTTTTATTTTATTATTATTTTTTTGAGACGGAGTCTCACTCTGTCACCCAGGCTGGAGTACAGTGGCAAGACCTCGGCTCACTGCAAGCTCCGCCTCCCAGGTTCACGCCATTCTCCTGCCTCAGCCTCCCGAGTAGCCGGGACTACAGGCACCCACCACTGCACCCAGCTAATTTTTTTTTTTTTTGTATTTTTAGTAAAGACGGGGTTTCACTGTGTTAGCCAGGATGGTCTCGATCTCCTGACCTTGTGATCCGCCCGCCTCAGCCTCCCAAAGTGCTGGGATGACAGGCGTGAGCCACCATGCCCGGCCAATTTTTGTATTTTTAGTAGAGACGGGGTGTCGCCATGTGGGCCAGGCTGGTCTTGAACTCCTGACCTCAGGTGATCCACCCACCTCGGCCTCATTACAGGCTATTCATGGGTTTTAAGGATAAGGACCTGTGTATGACTGGGGGCTGTTATTCAGCATCCCGCAGCATTGTTTTGTGGATGCACTCTGGCTACAATTCCAAGAAGGCAGCATGAGAAATTTCACAGCCACCCTCCAGCAGGGAGTTGACAGGCACAGTCCAGCCCGGGGCATCCTACTGGCAGGGGAGCTGTTGTTGTGTTGACTTCTGTCAGATCAACATAAGTGACACAGCTTCCTCCGCACACACCGAGGGGGACATGCTTAAGAATGTCATTAGGAGGCCCGGGAGATCACAGCACTAGCTTAGCTAAATGGGGTTTCGGCAATGAGAGTCTGGTGCCAACAATATGGATATTATTTAAGATTTTTAATAAAGCAGGGGAAACAAAGAGAACTGAGAAGGAGGAATAAAGTGCTGAAAAACATTTATCTGCTCTTAAGCAATTTCATTTAAAGGAGAAAGAAACGGAGGCTCAAACCAAAGATGAATATTGACAATGATGTTTTTTGTTTTGAGACGTAGTCTCGCACTGTTGCCCAGGCTGGAGTGCAATGGCGCGATCTCGGCTCACTGCAACATCCGCCTCCTGGGTTCGAACGATTCTCCTGCCTCAGCCTCCTGAGTAGCTGGGACTAGAGACGCCTGCCATCACACTCAGCTAATTTTTGTATTTTTAGTAGACACGGGGTTTCACCATGTTGGCCAGGCTGGTCTCGAACTCCTGACCTTGTGATCTGCCCACCTCGGCCTCCCAAAGTGCTGGGATTACAGGCGTGAGCCACCAGGCCCGGCCCTAACAATGATGTTTAAATAGGCAGAAAAGTAAGGCTGGTTTTGGCAAAGCAGAAAGCATTAAAAGGCCCTGGGCTCGGTGTGTAGAGCTTTGACTACAAAGGGAAAAAGTCACAGGGAAACTGGTTTATTTACATTATGAATACAAAATGCTAAACTGGTGGACTGATTAAACTTATCAGCAAAAGACTAAAGAAAGACATTTTCTGGAAGCATTTGCAAGGGTTGGGTAAGCCACATGGTCACTGGGCAGTGTTCAAAGCAACTGCTCCTTGGAGACCTCTGACCTGAGTATATCTTGAGGGTTTTTCCAGGATGGGGTTCAGGGAAGTGTATTAAGGATCCAAACATCATTTTGGTTTACAAAAAATCATTATGAAGAGTTCAAAATATACAAAAAAAAAAAAAAAAAAAAAAAAAAAAAAAAACAGTCAAAGAGTAAAAACAAACCCTCATGGAAAAAAAGAAAAAAATTGTCTCTATTTGACGATGATATAATTGTCTTGATAGAAAATATCAAATAATCTGGAAAAAACTTTCTAGAACTAATAAATGAGCTCAATAAGTTCACAGGATGCAAGATAAATGTATAAAAATCAATTGTATTTCTATACAGTGACAATGGACAAGGGGAAACCAAAATATAAACTATAATACTATTTTAGGCCGGGTGTGGTGGCTCACGCCTGTAATCCCAGCACTTTGGGAGGCCGAGGGGGGCGTGGATCACCTGAGGTCAGGAGTTTGAGACCAGCCTGGCCAACATGGTGAAACCCAGTCTCTACAAAAAATACAAAAAAATTAGCTGGGCGAGGTGGCAGGTGCCTGTAGTCCCAGCTACTCGGGAGGCTAAGGCAGGAGAATCACTTGAACTCGGGAGGTAGAGGTTGCAGAGAGCCAAGATCGTGTCATCGTATTCCAGCCTGGGCTATAGAACGAGACTCTGTCTCAAAGAAAAAAAAAAAAAAAACTATTTTAAATTGCTCCAAAGAGAACGAAATACTTATATATAAATCTCACCAAGCATATGTAGTTCTGTATGATAAAAATTATAAAATTCTGATGAAAAATATCAACGAAGATCCAATTAAGGAAAGGCATACTGAGTTCCTGGAGCACAATCACTATAGTAAAGATGTAAGTTCTCCTTAAACTGATTTACAGAGTTAACACAATTCAGGCTGAGTGCAGTGGCTCGCGCCTCTAATCCCAGCACTTCAGGAGGCTGAGGCGGGTGGATCACCTGAGGCCAGGAGTTTGAGACCAGCCTGGCCAACATGATGAAACCATGTCTCTAATAAAAATACAAAAATTGCCTGGGTGTGGTGGAGGGCACCTGTAATTCCAGCTACTCGGGAGGCTGAGGCAGAAGAATTGCTTGAACCCAGGAGGTGGAGGTTGCAGTGAGCTAAGATTGTGTCAGTAAACTCCAGCCTGGGCGACAGAGCAAGACTCCATCTCAAAAAACAAACAAACAAACAAAATTCACATAAAAATCCCAGCATTTTAAAAATATACCTAGAAAAAATTTTAAAAATAGACATAGAAAAGATTATTATAACATTTATAAAGTAATGGAAAAGCTCTGTAAGAGTTGAAACCATTTTGAGAAAGAATTAAGTGACAGAAATCACACACTCTTTGGGATTACTATATTGCTGGGATAAAATGGAGAGAGTATGGCACTGAACAAAGATAAGACACATAAATAAATGGAACAGCATAGAGAACCCAGAAACAGATACCTGCAATGATGTCCGACTAATGTTTGAGAATGGAGCAAAAGTAATTTAATGGAAGAGGAATATCCATTTCACTGAAATTTCTGGAGCAAGGAGACATGACGAACAACATCAAAAAATGAATCGCAACCTAAACCTCATAGCTTTTATACAAATTAACTCAAAATAAATCATGGACTTAAATGTAAACCACAAAACCATGGTGTGCTGTTGCATCTATGATCTCAAAAAGAATGATGGATTGCATTTAACGATGATATCTTCTACAGGAGGCCAAGCGACTAAGACAATTCTTTTTTATTTTTATTTTTTGAGATGGAGTCGCACTCTTGTCGCCCAGGCTGGAGTGCAGTGGCGCCATCTCGGCTCACTGCAACCTCCACTGCCCGGGTTCAAGCGATTCTCCTGCCTCAGCCTTCCGAGTATCTGGGACTACAGGCACCTACCACCATGCCAGGCTAATTTTTTATTTTATTTTTTGTACTTTTAGTAGAGACGGGGTTTCACCATATTGGCCAGGCTGGTCTTGAACTCCTGACCTTGTGATCCACCCGCCTTGGCCTACCAACGTGTTGGGATTACAGGTGTTGGGCCACCACGCCCAGCCAACGAGTCTTTTTTTCATGGTCAAAACCAAAATCTAGATTGCAAAATTCAGATAAAGCAATTTTACGGCTTATAAGGTACCTACATAGGCCTGATGTTTTGCAGTGAGGGAGGAAAAGTCGCAAAAAAAAAAAAAAAAGAAATACTCTGAAGAAAGTGAAAAGACAAGCCACAGAATGTAAGAAACTATTGGGAAGACATATATCTCCTAAAGGACTTGTGGCCAACATTTAGGAAGCATAGTTACAAGTCATACGAAGATGGCACCTGACCCGATAAAAATTAGGAAATAGAGCTGAAAGGACTTGTCAGTAAATAAGACGTATAAGTGGCAAAATAAGTCTATGAAGCGGGTCTGTGTTTCTTGGGGGGTTCTGGAATGCAGACACCGAGACAGAGTTAGAAACGCAAAGGTGGGGCATGGTGGCTCACGCCTGACATCCCAGCACTATGGGAGGCCGAGGTGGGTGGATCACCTGAGGTCAGGAGTTCGAGACCAGCCTGGCCAACGTGATGAAACCCCGTCTCTACTAGAAATACAAAAATTAGCTGTGCATGGTGGCAGGTCCAGGAATCCCAGCTACCTGGGAGTCTGAGAAAGGAGAATTGCTTGAACCCAGGAAGCAGAGGCTGCGGTTAGCCAAGATTGCACCATTGAACTCCAGCCTGGGTAACAAGAGCAAAACTCCGTCTCAAAATATAAATAAATAAATAAAATTTAAAAAGGGAAACATTTCCGGCCAGGCGCAGTGGCTCACACCTTTAATCCCAGCACTTTGGGAGGCCAAGACGAGTGGATCACCTGAGACCAGGAGTTCAAGACCAGCCTGGCCAACATAGTGAAATCCCGTCTCTACTAAAATTACAAAAAATTAGCTGGGCGTGGTGGTGTGTGCCTGTAATCTCAGCTACTTGGGAGGGGAGGCTGAGGCAGGAGAATTGCTTGAACCTAGGAAGCAGAGGCTGCAGTGAGCCAAGATTGCACCACTGCACTCCAGCCTGGATAACAAGAGCAAAACTGCGTCTCAAAAAAAAAAAAAGAAAGAAAGAAAGAAAGATTTCCGGCCAGCCTCAGTGGCTCACACCTTTAATCCCAGCACTTTGGGAGGCCAAGACGAGTGGATCACCTGAGGCCAGGAGTTCAAGACCAGCCTGGCCAACATAGTGAAATCCCATCACTACTAAAATTACAAAAGATTAGCCGGGCATGGTGGCGGGTGCCTGTAATCTCAGCTACCTGGGAGGCTGAGGCAGGAGAATCACTTGAACCCAGGAAGCAGAGGCTGCAGTGAGCCAAGATCACGCCACTGCACTCCAGCCTGGGAGACAAAGCGAGACACTATCTCAATAAATAAATAAAAATGAATAGAAGGATGAGAAAAACAGACACTAGGGATTTCAAAAGGAGTGTGGATGGAGAGCAGTAAGGGTTCAAAAACTACCAACTGGGGGGTACGCTGACTACCTGGGTGTTGGGATTATTAGAAGCCCAAACCTCAGCATCACACAATATACCTAAGTCACACCCCTGCACACACACCCCTTCATCTGAAATTTAAAACGGGGGCGGGTGCAGTGGCTCATGTCTGTCATCCCAGGACTTTGGGAGGCTGAGGCAGGAGGATCACTTGAGCACAGGAGTTCGAGACCAGCCTGAGCAAGATACGGTAGACCTCATTGCTATGAAAACATTTTTTTAAACACTAGCTGGGTGCGGTGGTGCGCACCGGTATTCCCAGCTACTTGGGAGGCCGAGGCAGGAGAATTGCTTGAGCTCAGGAGTTCAAGGGTGCAGGGAGCTATGATCACGCCACTGCCCTCCAGCCTGGGTGACAGAGCAAGACCTTATCTCAAAATGAATAAATAAATTAATTCAATTTTAACATAAAATACAAAACATCTATAATATAATCATTTTTAAAAGTTAAACAATGTCTAAAAAAGGAGTTGTATTTTTCTATATGTATACCTGTAGAAATAAATATATATATTTCCTGTGTCTGTGTATATATAAAATATTTTTCTAATATAACATATATAAACATTATATATGTAATATATTATATAATATAATATACAATATATAACATAAGCAATATTAAAAATTATATATAATATATATTATATTATATATTATATTATATTATATATTATATTATATTATATATTACATTATATATTATATTATATTATATATTATATTATATATTATATTATATGTTATATAATATATAATACATATTTATTTATATATTAATATACATTATACATTAATATATATTTTTATATATTTATTAATATATAAATATATAATATGTTTATATATTATATATGTATACTATATAAAATATATAATATAAATATATATGTATTGTATAATATAAATTATATATAAATATATAAATATATAATATAAATTATATATAAATATATTTATATAAATATATTATAGAATATATAATATATTAATAGTATGTAATATAATATTAATATATTATAAATAAATATATTATAAATATAATATATAATACATATGTAATATAAATATATATAATACATATGTAATATAATATACATATTTTATAGTTAATTTATTAACTATAACTATTATTATATATGCATAATATATTAAATATATTTTATATATATTTGTAATATTTATATATAATGTACACACAGGAAATATATATTTTATATTATGAATATAAAATATTTATAATTTTTTATTTTCTATTATTTTATGTATATATATGCCATGCGAACTCTAACGCGTACGTTCTTTAATCACGTTTTTCGTGTCTTGTTTTACGGTTCCATCTGGACTTGGAGCTGCCCTTTGAAAAAGCCACAGCTGCTGTGTCAAGTCTGGTGAACGTGACATCCTGACTAAATTCTCGAAAGGAAAGAGATGAAACTCAGGGACATGTACCTGGGTCACCTGGAGAACCAGCAATGGGCACCGTCTGTGGTTGGTTGCCTTTGTAACCTCCGTGTATGTATATATATATATATATATACATATATATATATATATATATATATATATATATATATGCACACATAGCATGTACATCGCTCAAAGCCCAGGTTTTTGGACATCAGTGTAACTGACCTGCTGATTAGCGTATGGTGAGGACTGCCAGCCGGAACACACCAGGGAAAGGATAAAAAAAGTGGGCAGAGCGAGGAGCTATTTTAGTCCTGGTCCAGGGTCCACCACCATGTGGCTGCATTTTAATGACACACGCGCTTCACCCTCCCAGATGCTGAATTCACCTGCAACATCACACTCCTCAAGGAGACGTTTAGCAGACATTATCTGAGGGCTCCGTGCAGAGCAGAGCCTGGTCACTGACTGTTTTCTCAGGAAAAGATAGGTGCAGAAGGTAGGGGAAGGACCTGAGTCCCAGGGGAATCAGCCACTAAGAATTCAGCATCTGGCCAAGTTGCTCAAAGAAATTGTTCTTGTTTAGCCTCTCTCTTGAATCAGTGGATGTTTACTGGAACCTGGAAGGAAAGGGAAGACAGCCAGAAGCTATGGTGTATGTGTGTGTGGCTGAGCAGGGAAAGGAAAGAGGTGGAGAGAAGGAGGGAGAGAAGAAGGAATAAGACAGGGGAGGAGGAGAGGGGAGGAAGAAAGAGGAGGAGAAGGAGGAGGGGGAGAAGGAGGAGGAGTAAAAAGAGAAGTGGTAGGAGAGGGTAGAAGGAGGAGGAGGAGAGGGAGGAGGAAGAGAAAAGGAGAGGAGGAGGAGGGGAGGAGGAGATGGGAGGAGGAGGAGGAAAGGAGAGAAGGAGGAAGAGGGGGAGGAGGAGGAGGAAAGGAGAGAAGGAGGAAGAGGGGGAGGAGGAGAGAGAAGGAGGGGAGACAGGAGGAGGAGGGGAGAGGGGAGGAGGAGGGGAGAGGGGAGGAGGAGGGGAGAGGGGAGGAAGAGGGGAGAGGGGAGGAGGAGGGAGGGGAGGAGGAGACAGGAGGAGGAGGAGGAGAAGGAGAAGGGAGGAGGAGGAAGAGAGGGGAGGAGGAGGAAGAGGAGGGGGAGGAGAGGGTAGAAGGAGGAGGGAGGAGGAGGACAAGGACAGACAGTGGGAGGAGGAGAAATAGTAAATGAAGAAGGAGAACAAGAAAAGATGAAAAAAGAGAGGGAGTAGAAGGAAAAGGAGAAGGAGGAAGAGGAGAAGAAGGAGTATCAAATGGTACAATTTCTAAAATCCAATCTGACCAAGTCTAGACCTTCTCCAAAAGAAATCGCCAAGTAAGCAGTAACAAGTAAAATGAAAGAGAGGATAGTCTTTAAGAGACAAACCTAGTAGGTCAGATTTTTTTTTTTTAAGGAAGCTTAGTTTTTATTGGATACACTTTCATCTTTATAGCTCATTGATTGTGAAAAGGCTTATGGAATAATATAATTACCAAACAACAAAATAAATAAACAGTTGTAGACTTATGCTACACAATAAATGACAAAACCGCACACACACAAAAAAGGAGGGGAATATTTAAAACTTAGTTACGTTTCCTTCGACACATTTTTCACTGGGTGGAAGGAAAAGCCCAGCATCAAATACTTTCTTTGAAGTCTCTAAAAGCTTTCTCAGTGATGAGATTAAACTTGCAAAAGCTTTCTTGCTGTGGGGAGGCAACAACGACAGCTCTAATTACAGGGGTTCTGCACTCAGGGTGTTATGGTTCTCTGAAACAAGGAAGAGAGGCGTGCATACATTAATCCAAGGATACGTCCCAGCCAGTAATGAGCCACCGCTTGCAGTGGAAAGCAGGGAGTTGTGAGCTTGTGTCATAGAATATACAATTTCCTTGTGGTGTCCCACAAAAAGCTATCTCCCATTCAGATTGTTCCTACGTAGTTGTGCCAGTCATAACAAGAACCAAGATC